>NC_000005.10:19398729-19701760 GCF_000001405.40 Homo sapiens
CTTGCCTTGCTTGAGGAAAATATCAAAGAAATTCCTACACTTGGAACATTTCTTGAAATGAGCAATTAGTAATACACATTATACTGACTGGTGATACGCTTTTGTCAGTGATTTATATTTTAATATAGATTAATTGTCTATGTACTAAGAAGGTCTAAAATGCTCTTATTAAGCCATCAACATTTTTTTAGAAATGTGTCCTTTATATTAATTGGTACTTACTATTAGATTTTACAAGTAGAAGACATTCACTTAGATTGTTTTTATTCCATCTCTGAGAGGTGAAATGTCATAGATGATGGAATCTTATTTCAAGATAAGTAGTACACGAGTAATGGTGAATCTCATTTCATTTAGAAATTACAAATAAATGTCAAACTTTTTCATAAATTGTGATTATTTCTTAACTCTCCAGTAATTTAATTCATGTATGAGATTCTCATACTTATTAGTAAACAGAAATAAATGTCAAAACTTAGTTATCAGAATATTTCTTACATAGCCATTATTAATTGTTTATACTTCCCAGGAAAAGCACCCATAAGATTTACAATAAAAATTATTATTGTTATTGATGTGCATATGTGTCCTGAATACTCTTGCTGAGGGACAATTCTTGTTGTGTGTCTTGCACCTCCAAATGTCTTGTGAAAAGCCATTGGCAGCTTTTTTTTCAGACTGTTTATCTAAAAATTGTTTGTATAGTAAATATTGGAACATAAACATAGTACGTCCTTCTTGGACAAAAACCATAATTTTGTTTTGTGATCAGGATAATAAAGATATTCCCTTTCTCCAGAGAAACGTTGGGCAAGATTGCTCTTACCCCTACATAATTCATGTTTTCCTAAATTTAGTATTCCCCAGCTGTGACCCAATCCCACCATATGTATAGCAACTGGGGTGCCCCTCATTGCCTCCAAAGGAATTAGAGGCAGGGACAAGAGAAAGTAATATGAACATGAAGTTTATGCTGCTTTCAGTGAGTAATAACTAACTTTTCTTCTGGTCCTGGTGCCATGTTTTTTGCTAGCCTCTATGAAACTGTGGGAAGCTAATTGTCGTCTTGCAAATAATGTAAAACCTTAGACTGTTCGCAGTATTGATAACTCCCTCTTATGAAGACCCTTGCTACATAACATTTCAATCATGTTTCAATCTGCACTTTCTGAGTCACACTATATGACAGGCAGGACTAGGGTGATAACTTTCCACTTTTCACTCTGATATCAACAGTTAGATGTCCATCATGAAATTCCTATAATTACTAAGACCTCAAGCTTTTCATCATTCTGAAACTTGTCATTTTCTGAGATTAAAAGTTTCATAATATTTTATAGCTGAAAAAGTAATTTTATGTAAATTAGCTAATTTAAACTTCTGTAAAATCCTGAGGAATATTATCTTAGTTTCTGCTAAGAAAACTATGAGATTCAAAAATGTAATAACATAGCCAGAAGAATACAGTTAATTAATGGTACCTTGTCACACTCAACACCCCGACTATCACCCAGATGTTTTGATTTTTGCTTTTGTTTTTGTATAATTCTATACTTTTGTGTAATATACATAAAATGTCTAATATACACCACCATAAAAATTTACAAGACCTTAGACAATGTACAGAATATTTCAGAATTATGTGGCACTATTATCACAAACATGACATTTCCATGAATACCTGGTATTTAGTCAGTGAAAGATATTACTAAATATAAATAAAAGAAATTATTCTAAATAATAAACAGGTAGATAAATGTAATATTTAATACATTTGAATCACGTGACAATGAAGATACAATACTGCATCTTGAAACTAGTGTGATGCAAATAATATAATGTATTAAAATAATTTTTAACTTTAAATATAAAATTTAAGTTAAAATATTAAGGGTTCATATTCAGAAGTTAGAGAAAAGGCAACAAATTAACTTATAGAAAAAAGATAAAGACTTAATACATTAGTGCATAAATTATTTAAATAGAAAATTATGGAGAAAAACGTGAAGGAGGAGAAGAGGAAGAGAAGAAAAAAAAGGAGAAAGAAGATGAGAAGGAAAAATATTAGTCTGGTCAATGTACCACAATGTAGCAGTCTCTCATTGTGAGGTATTACTTGGAGTTCTTTGTCCCACTACCAAGAGAAGTAAGGAGCATGAATACAAAGTGTAAGCTCGAAGTGAAAGTTTTATAAGCAAAAGAAGAAAGCTCTCCACAGCAGAGAGGGGGCCCAAATGGGTTGCTGTTTTTGCAGTTGAATGTAAAGACTTTTACAGGAGACCATAGAGGGTTGGGCATCTCATTTGCATAAGGCACAAACTTCTGGTAGCTCTACCCTGTCCACCTAATGTGCATGCAGGCCCTTAGCATGAGTTACTCCATGTTGCTTTGTTCCCCTTACTGAGCATTGTCAGGGGATGGAATTTCCATTGCAGGCATGTCTGGAAAAGTCACCTATGTAGACTTTCTTATCTGTGCAGCTATGGGCATGTCTTAGGCAAGCACTGTGCAAGTTCCCTTATCTGTGCCTGCAGGCTGTTCTTTTGTTTGAAAAGATTCCACTGAGGACCCACCCTAACTGCCTGCCTGACTGGGATTTTTCTTTTCTCCTCGTTCAAAAATAAACCAAATTTGGTTCTTTGAAAGGATTAGTAACATTTGTAAACCTCAAGACAAATTTAAAAATAAGATATTGCTAAATTAAATAATGGGAATATAAAAGAGAACAGAATATTGAATAGATATTAAATAGAAATACCTCTAATAGTAAACTTAAAATTGACAAGTGAGTAATTTCCAGGAATGTATACATTTCCACACCTTTTCAATAAAAATTTCCTTATCTTCTTGGCAATATTGAATCATCAGTTTCATTAGTAGGCACCAAAAATTTCAAATACTCAGTCAATTTTATAAAATAATCAAATAAAAATAATCTTAATCTTATAAAATTATTTCAGTATACATAAAAGAGGAAAATGCTTACCAGCTCACCTTATGATTCTGGTAAAATCTTTGCCTCATATTCTCTATATGCTTGTTAATGACTAATGTGAATGAAGAATAAAATCTTAAAATCCTAAACTCACTGTGCCAAAGACAAAGTTAAGCTTGGGAATTGTGTCATGCAGAAAACTACCTTCTTTTTGTTCCCAAACAGCTATAATTTTACATGCTTGGTTTATCTTAACTAAAATGTAGATGTACTGCCAATGAGACTAGTGCATAATAATCCACTCCCCTCACCCCTTTCTTTTCATATGTAAAATGTAGATTCACTGGGTGCTAATCAAAGCCTCAGAAGAATGTAAAAACTTGCCTCAGTGCCTACCCTCTGCCCTCTTTATTTATACTTATTTATTTATGTTTTCGCTTTTGCTTTCCTCCTCTAGCTTGTTCTTTTCCCTTTAAGTACTGAAGTTTCCAAAACCCTCTTTGGAAAAACACAGTGCACAGATCCTGCTGTAACCTGTGTTTCTTTTTCCTAGGCACATCTTCAACATTGGAAAAATAATCTTGACTCAGTTGAAATCTACTTCAGTTACATTTTGATTTACACTAGTAATCACTCAAGGTAAAAGAAAGGGGAAGAGAGAAAAATGAAAAGGATACTGGAAATCATGCCTATCCCCTTTTACCTGAAATTCTGCTTTCTCACATGCCCCACAGAACATTTCATCCTAGGATTCACTGGCCAGCATATCAAAATAATGTCTTCTAGCCCTCTCAAGATGCAAGTGATGTTGGAAAATCCTGGAATGGAAGAGTCACCTTAGATACAATAAAACTTCAAGCATATTTGAGAATATTTGCAAATGCAAATATTATAGTCATACCACTGCCTCTTCCATAGTCACCAAGCTTGAAGTAGAGTTAAATTAAACATTGTAAATGTGATGCAGTTTAATTATGCCTCCACCAAAGCCCTTTGATATAACAAACAAAATATAAATTAATTCTTATTCTACTCAAGTGGACAACACCAAAACATAAATATAATAAACAAATTTTTTCAACAATACCTAGCCAACCATTATTTATGTATGCATGTATTTATTTATTCCTTAAACATATATTTGTTGAGTGCATTGTAACAATGACAGTAGCTGGTCATTTTTAGTGTCCACCTAGTGACAGACACTCTTTACAACTTTTGTATATAATAGTTTAGCAAACAACATATTATGTATCTTTGAAGAGATAGAAAATTATTGGGCCAAAAGCAGCCCCTACATTTCTATGTCAAATTTCTTCATATTATAGTGGCATTAGCAGCAGCAAATCTATATGGGTCTGCAACAACTTAATTCTTGCCTCCTCGAAGGAAGGAATTTGTCCAAGGGCATAAGGCAGAATGAGAGACTGAGGCAAGTTTCCAAACAGGAGTGACCGTTTATCAAAAAGTTTTAGAACAGGAACAAAAGGAAGTAAGGTACACTTGGAAGAAGGCCAAGCAGGCAACTTGAATGTTCAAAATATGCCATGTAGTTTTTGACTTGGGGGTATTATACAGTGGTATGATGCTGGGGTTGTGTTTCTTCTCCCCTTATTCTTCCCCTGGGGTGGGCTGTCTGCACGGGCAGTGGCCTGCCAGCACTTGGGAGGGGCCACATGCACAGTGTGGTTATGGAAGTTGTGTGCATGCTCATTTGTGATGTTTTTCCCTTACCAGTCGAGTATCCCTAGAGGAATGTCATAGACCAGTTAAACTCCACCATTTTACCTCTTAGTGCTCATGCTTGAGTCCACTCGCCTCACTCCTGCAATCTTATCAGAAAGTTGCCGATCACCAGCTTCAGGTGTTTTTCTTCTATTGGGAGACTGTCTTTACCTACCACCAGCTATAACCAATTATTATTTTAGAGAGACAGTTTAACAACCACCTGACCATCACCTGATAGTCACCTGATGTTCCTGGGGGTGGAAGGACATCTCCTGCCTGGTTCATGTCAGCCTATTTACCTACTCTAACAGTGGGAGACTTCATCTCATCATGTTAATGCATTTTCTGGCAATAATTTAAAACCTATTTATTTTCCTGTTATTGGAAGATCATGTGATGATTGTACTCTGGAAGATTTTTTCATGATAAATTCACATATTAACTCTTTTATAATTTTTACCTATGTCCTGCTACCAGCAGCATACTTATGTTTGCTATGGCTGTAGACATCACTTTAGAAAGATTTCAAAAATCATGCCCCATTTACACAGGTATGAGTAAATATGCTTTTAAGTAAAATAATGCTACATTTCTGGAACTCTGGACAGAAAAAAATCCTACACATCTTGAGAATTTCTGATTAGAGTAGATTAATATAAATAAAAATATTTTATTGTAAGTTTAATAATTGTTAATTGCTAAATGCTTACTCATTACTTATTATTAGCGTTCATTAAATGTTTGTTGCATAACAGAGCTATGATGAACCCTTTAATATATTATTTCCTTTGATATCATTATTCCATCTGGACTTGAGAGGAAATTCATGTCTGGTGATTCTTTTCAGCAACTTGTTGTAAGTGACACCAGTAGGAATGTGGAGTGATTGTGTTCCCATACTGTGGTCACTGATTCTGCTACTGAATTCCTCTTCTAAATGCAAACATGGGCCAGCTCTGCCTAAGACTAGATCACCATATCATCTCCAGATTTTACAGGGAAATTCTTAGAACCTTTTAATGTCTCATTCTACACCGATCATTGGTCATTGGACACTGAGAAAACCCAAATTTAGGCAATGTACTTAATTTTGGAACATACCTTTTTAAAAGTACATAAAATATGCCATTCCATCCCTCCATGAATGAGGTGACTGTGTAAGGAGTTTGGACGCACAAAGTGCTGCTGTAAATTGAATGGTTACTTTCCTCTCTGTCTTTATCTTATTAATGAGAGTATAGTAAAAATTCCAGGAACAGAACAGAGGGAGCCAAGGTTTTGTCTACATATAAATATTCAAATTAAAGTTCTCCACTTTACAACTAATTTTTTTTTTTTTTTTTTGAGATGGAGTCCACTCTGTTGCCCAGGCTGAAGTGCAGTGGTGCAATCTCGGCTCACTGCAACCTTCGCCTCCCTGGTTCAGAGACTCTCCCGCCTCAGCCTTCCGAGTAGCTGCGATTAAAGGCACCTGCTAAGACGTCCAGCTAATTTTTGTGGTTAACTGCAGTCTGAAAATAAGTGAGTGCGGTACAATTAGATATTTTGAGAAAAAGAGCACATTCACATAACTCTTATTATAGTATGTTGTTATATTGTTCTGTTTTATTATTATTATTGTTAATCTCTTACTGTGCCTAATTTGTAAATTAACCTTTATCATAGGCATGTATGTATAGAAAAAGAAAACCTAGTACTGTATATAGAGGTTTGGGTACTATCTGTGGTTTCAGGCATCTACTGGAGACCTTGGAACATTTGCCCTGCAGACAAGTGGAGAACACCGTATTTGTTCTCATTTCTCACAAGAGAAAAAAGTGGCTCAGAGAAGTAAAATAATATGACCAAGCTGAATAACTTGTAAATAAAGCCAATATTTGAACCCACCTCTGCCTAATTCCAAATCATATGCTTGTCTATAACACTATCTTTTTTTTTTTTTTTTTTTCTTGTGAGACGGAGTCTCGCTCAGACTGGAGAGCAGTGGCGCTATCTTGGCTCACTGCAAGCTCCACCTGCCGGGTTCACGCCATTCTCCTGCCTCAGCCTCCTGAGTAGCTGGGACTACAGGTGCCTGCCATCATGCCCTGCTAATTTTTGTATTTTTAGTAGAGACGGGGTTTCACCATGTTAGCCAGGATGGTCTCAATCTCCTGACCTTGTGATCCGCCTGCCTCGGCCTCCCAAAGTGCTGGGATTACAGGCGGAAGCCACTGCACCTGGACAATATAGGCCAATATAGGACAGGCACGATGGCTCACTCCCATAATCCCAGCACTTTGGGAGGCCGAGGTGGGCGGACCACCTGAGGTCAGGAGTTGGAGACCAGCCTGGCCAACGTGGTGAAACCCCGTCTTTCCTAAAAATACAAAAATTAGCCAGGCGTGGTGGCCCATGCCTGTAATCCCAACTACTGGGCAGGCTGAGGCATAAGATTCGCTTGAACCCGGGAGGCAGAGGTTGAAGTGAGCTGAGATTGCGCCATTGCACTCCAGCCTGGGTGACAAGAGTGAAACTCTGTCGCAAAATAGAAATAATAATAATAATATATTTATTGTTCTTATTTTTACATGCAAATTGAAAACATTTAAATATATTTTTTATCTTTCTGCATGTTTAGAGTCTGCATTATTGAAAAATGATTTTTTAGATATGTTTGGATTTTTTATAGTGTTTTACATGAAAAATACATGTGTACAGGCTCTACTCTCCTCCACAAGTTCACAATGCCTTTCAAGTTAATAAATAAACTATATAGTTTGATGATTTTAATTGTCAGTAAACTACTTTTTCTGAACAGTTTTGGAAGTATTAAGAACTCTTACTCAGAACCAGATAAAAACTATTGCTAACAACATCATGACTATAGTACTTTAATTGAGCAAATGAGATTTATGCATGATAATCTACCCTAAACCACTCTAATTTTTTATTATGACCTGCTAAACCCTGTTAATGACAATATAATATTATTTTCAGCATTCATTTATGTTTTTTAAAAAATCTTTGTCCTCTTGGACAGGCATTACTTTATATCAATTCTGCCTTGACTCCTTAAGTAGAAGTTTCTCTAAAGAAAAACAAATCATCAATCAAGGTTATCAGGAACAGTCCCTCAACAAATCAGAAAATTAGATAATAACAGGTAAAACATGGAATAGGTTTATTTCCATTAGATATGTTCCCACGTTAGACAGAGTCACAGTGAAAATGTTGAGCTATTAGCATTCACTAGCTGCTCAAATCACCTCCTTTCTATTACAAAACTGTGACTCTAGAAACCAAATGTGTGGATTGCTCTTCTGTTTTCTGCTTAATGACTGTGCCAAAGTCGGGAGCATTCATGCTTTTCTTTTGGAATGAAATAACAACAGTTGCTTTTCATGTACTTCTTGATGATTTGCCAGACTGTGTAAACCCAGCCATTTCTATAACTTCTGGAGAGATAGATGTGTAAAAAGTCTGTCTTCAGGCATCTAAATGATTATATAAAGGTGTTTTCAGAGATTTTCCAGGCTTGCCTTCCTTTGTGGCTTTTATTTCTCTGTATTCATTTTTATGTCAGAGTCCAAAGATCATCAAATGTTTCATGTAACACCAACATAAAATGATTCTGGTATTCTGTTGAATATACGAATTTAGAGGCTCAATTTAGTGTATTTCCTTATGGAGCTGACCCATAATTATTTGCTGAAGAAATCTTTTGGATCTGCTGATAAGAACACCCTTGGCCCACTTTCACAATATGGTTGAATAGCAGTCTACTCAGGGAGAAGTAATGGTTAGACCCTTCAATTCTCAAAAGAGGATTCAATCATTCATGCAAAAAATATTTATTGACTGCCAACCATATGCCAAACCCACTGTTCAGGTCATTTGGATTGTATCAGTGAATAAAAACACAAAAATGTTTGCTCTTGTGAAGCAAATCAGAAAGACTGCAGAAAGTTAAAACAAAACATTGAATCTGCAATTATTTTGCAACAAAAAACAATCATTTCCAGGTATTTCTGAAAACCTACATTCTCACAGTAGCATATTTATAAAAAGCATGGTAAATAGAAATTGTGTTTATATAGGTTTTCTGTGATTGCCATAACAAAATATGAAAAACTAGGTGGTTTAAACAACAAAAATGTATTATCTTACAATTGTAGAGGCTAGGAGTCCATGATCCAGGTGTTAGCTGGATTGGCTTCTTGGCTGATAGAAATACCACTTCAGTCTCCTATCATCTTCCCATGACACTCTCCCTGTGTGCTTCACATAATCTTCCCTCTATATGTATCTGTCTCTGTGTCCCAATTCTCCCTTTTTTTTTTTTAGTAAAGATACCAGTAATATTGATTAGTGCCCACTTCAATGACATTTTAACTTGACTAACTACAACTGCAATGACTGTATTTCAAAATAAGGTCACATTCTGAGATACTGAGAGGGAGGACTTTAACAAATGAATTTGGGTGAAACAGATTTAACCCATAACAAAGTTTATTATAGAATGCCTAGATTAGGATTGAATCAAACCATCAGACCTGTTTACTTCAACCATGTAAGTTGTTACCCTCCATCTCTGTTACTCTAACCACATAAAAAAATTATCTTAGAATACGTTTTGACTTTATGGCATTTTTAAAATTTTCATTGTAGGTTCAGAGGTACATGTGCACGTTTGTTATATAGGTAAATTGTATGTTACAGGGTATTGGTATACAGATTATTTTGTCACGAATTTAATACCCATATACCCAATAGGTAGTTTTTTAGTCTTCTACTCACCACCCTTAAGTACGCCCTCGTGTCTATTGTTCCCTGCTTTGTATCCATATATACTCAAAGTTTAGCTCCTACTTATAAGTGAGAACCTGTGGTATTTGGTTTTCTGGTCCTGTGTGAGTTTTCATGGGATAATGTCCTCCAGCTCCATCCATGTCACTGCAAAGGATATAATCTCATTTTTCATGGCTGCATAGTATTCCGTGGTGTATATATCCAGTCTACCATTGATGGGCATTTAGATTGATTCTATATCTTTGCTATTGTGAATAATGTTGTAATTAACACACTTGTGCATTTGCCTTTATAGTAGAGTGATTTATATTCCTTTGGATATTTAACCAGTAATGAAATTGCTTGGTTTAATGGTAATTCTGTTTTAAGTTATTTCAGAAGTTTCCAAACTGCTTCTACAACAGTTGAACTAATTTACATTCCCACCAGCAGTGTATAACCGTTCTCTTTTCTCTACATCCTTGCTGGCATCTATTATTTTATTTTATTTTTTTACTTTTTAATAGCTATTCTGACTCATGTGAGATGGTATTGAAGTTTTGATTTGCATTTCTCTAAGAATTAGTAATATTGAGTATTTTTCATATGCTTGTTGGCTGTGTGTATGTTTTCTTTTGAAAAGTGTCTGTTCTAATCCTTTGGATATATACCCAGTAAACATGCACATGTATGTTTATTGCAGCACTATTCACAATAGCAAAGACTTGGAACCAATCCAAAGCCCATCAATGACAGGCTGTATAAAGAAAATGTGGCACATATACACCATGGAATACTATGCAGCCATAAAAAGGATGACTTTATGTCTTTTGCTGGGACATGGATGAAGCTAGAAACCGTCATTCTCAGCAAACGAACACAGGGACAGAAAACCAAAAAACTCATGTTCTCACTCATAAGTGGGAGTTTTACAATGAGAACACATGGACACAGGGAGGGGAACATCAAACACCAGGGCCTGTCAGGGGTCGGGGGCAGGGAGAGGGATAGCATTAGGAGAAATACCTAATGTAGATGATGGGTTGATGGGTGCAGCAAACCACCATGGCACATGTATACCTATGTAACAAACCTGCACGTTCTGCACATGTATCCCAGAACTTAAAGTATAATAATAAAAAAAAGTGTCTGTTCATGTCCTCTGCCCACTTTTTAATGAGGTTGTTTGCTCTTTGCTTGTTAATTTGTTTAAGTTCCTTATAGATTTCGGATATTAGGCTTTTGTCAGATGGACAGTTTGTGAATTTTATTTTGCATTCTGTATGTTGTCTGTTTACTCTATTGATAGTTTCTTTGGCTGTGCAGAGGCTCTTCAGTTTAATTAGGTCCCGTTTGTCAATTTTCGTTTTTGTTGAAATTGCTTTTAGTGTCTTCATCATGAAACTTTAGCTAGGGCTTATGTCCAGAATGGTATTTCCTCGGTAATATTCCAGAGTTCTCATAGTTTTAGGTTTTACATTTAAATATTTAATCCATGTTTTTATAAACTTTTATTTTAAGTTCAAGTGTACAGTGCAGGTTTGTTACATAGGTAAACTCATGTCATGGGGGGTTGTTGTACAGATTATTTTGTCACCCAGGTATTAAGCCTACTACCCATTAATTATTCTTCCTGATCCTCTCCCTCTTCCCACCCTCCACCCTCCAAAAGTTCAAAAGGCCCAAGTGTGTGTTGTTCCCCTCTATGGGTCCACGGATTCTCATCATTTAGCTCCCACTTATAAGCGAGAACATACGGTATTTGTTTTTTTGTTGTTGTTGTTACATCTTGAGTTGATTTTTGTATATGGTGTAAGGAAGGAGCCTAGCTTCAATTGCATATAGCTATCCAGTTGTCCCAGCACCATTTATTGAGTCGGAAGTCTTTTCCCCATTGCTTTTTTTTTTTTTTGTCAGTTTTGTAGAAGATGAGATGGTTGTAGGTGTGCCTCTTTATTTCTGGGCTCTCTCTTTTGTTCCATTGGTCTATACATCCGTTTTTGTTCCAGAACCATGCTCTTTTAGTTACTATAGCTCCGTACTATGATTTGAAGTCAGGTAACCTGATGCCTCCAGCTTTGTTCTGTATTAATTTTGTATCCTCAAATTTTGCCAAAGTTGTTCATTAGCTTCAGGAGCTTTTGGACAGAGACTATGGGGTTTTCTAGGTATAGAATAATGTCATCTGCAAACAGGGATAGTTTGAGTTCCTCTGTTCCTATTTGGATGCCTTTTACTTATTTATTTCGCTTGATTGCTCTAGCTAGGACTTCCAGTACTATGTTGAATAGGAGTGGTGAGAGAGGGCATCCTTGTCTTGTGCCAGTTTTCAAAAGGAGTAATTTTTGCCTATCCAGTATGATGTTGGCTGTGAATTTGTAATAGATGGCTTTTATTATTTTGAAGTATGTTCCTTTACTACCTGGTTTGTTGAGGGTTTTTAACATAAAGAAGTATTGAATTTTATCGAAAGCCTTTTCTGCATCTATTGAAATGATCGTGTGGATTTTTTTAATGTAATGAATCACATTTATTGCTTTGCATATCTTGAACCAACCTTGCATCCCAGGGATAAAGTCAACTTTATTATGGTGGATTGGCTATTTAATGTGCTGCTGGATTTGGTTTGCTAGTATTATGTTGACAATTTTTATACCTATGTTCATCAACAATATTTTCCTGAAGTTTCCTTTATTTGATGTGTCTCTGCCAGGTTTTGCTATCAGAATGATGCTGGCCTCATAGAATGGGTTAAGGAGTGGTCCCTCCTCCTCAATTTTTTGGGATAGTTTCAGTAAGAATGGTACCAGCTCTTCTTTATACATCTGGTACAATTTGTCTGTGAATTCTGGTCCTGGGCTTTTTTTGTTTGGGAGACTTTTTATTCCTGATTCAATTTCAAAACTCGTTATTGGTCTGTTGAGGGATTCAGTTTCTTCCTGGCTCCATCTTGGGGGGTTTATGTTTCCAGGAATTTATCTGTTTATTCAAGGTTTTCTAGCTTATGTGCATAGAGGTGTTTCTGCTTGTCTCTACTGGTGTTTTGTATTGCTGTGGAGTTGGTGGTAACGTCCCCTTTGTCATTTCAAATTGTGTTTATTTGGATCTTCTCTCTGTTTTTAATTAGGCCAGCCAGCAATCTATCTTATTTATTCTTTCAAAAACACTAACTCATATATTCATTGATGTTTTCTATGGATTTTTATATCTCAATTTTTTTCAGTCGGCTGTGCTTTGGGTTATTTCATGTTTCCTGATAGCCTTGGGTGGGTTTTCTGTTTCTTTAGTTCCTCTAGCTATGACGTTAGATTGTTAACTTGAGATCTTTCTAACTTTTCAATGTGAGCATTTAGCACTGTTAACTTCCCCCTTAACACTGCTTTAGCTGTGTTCCAGGGATTCTAGTATGTTGTATCTTTGTTCTCATTAGCTTAAAAAAAATTTCTGCCTTAATTTGATTGTGTACCCAAAAGTCATTCAGGACTTTGACTTTTGACTCCAAAAGTCATTCAGGAGCAGGCTGTTTAATTTTCATGTAAATCTACAGTTTTGAGGGATCTCCCTAGCATTGATTTCTGTTTTTATTGCCATATGCTCCCAGAGTGTGCTTGCTATGATTTTATTTATTTATTTATGTTTTGAATTTGCTGAGGTTTGTTTTATGGTTAATTGTGTGGTTGATTTTATTGTAAATGTCATGTGCAGATGAGGATGTAGAACATATTGTTTCGGAGTGGCAAATCCTGTAGATGTACATTAAGTCTATTTGGTCAAGAAGGTCCTGAATATGTTTGTTTTCTGCTTCTGCTCCAATTCTGTCAGTGGGGTGTTGAAGTCTCTTACTATATTGTGTAGGAATCTAAGTCTCTTCGTAGGTCTCTAAGAACTTGCTTTATGAATCTGTGTGCTGCTGTTTTGGGTGCATATGAATTTAGGATAGTTAGGTGTTCTTGTTGAATTAAATCCTTTACCATGACATAATGACGTAATGTCATTCTTTGTCTTTTTGAGAGCTTTTAGAAAAAAGCAAAAACAACTACAAAAAACCATATCCTTGGCAAATGTACCACAAATCACTGGGGGCCAATGAGATGGATTCCTCTGCTTTACAAATCTTTATATATATCTACATGTTTGACTCAAAAGTTACAGGCGAGCCCTGAAATTATAAAATAGCAATAGGAACGCTTAAATATAAGCATGAGAAACCACTCGTGTTCTGAATCCCATTTAAATTATAACCAAACTCAAATTATATCATTACTATCACACAGATATGCATTATTAGATACTATAAGCTAAAAATCATATGCCAACAAGTATAAATGTATCTTTTGTTTAAATTAACTTTTTTCAATGTGAATGTAACATATATCTGCATGATCATTGCAAAATAAGAGAAATACAGATGTGTCTGGGGCAAACATTTTGTCCCTATTATTTCTCTCATATTACTGAAAGCAGTTTAAGATATACTAATATTAAGCTTTTTAATTTTTGTGATTAGTTTGATGTGTTTGTATTTAAAAATTATACGTATAAATGTCTATATACACAATACGTAGTGTTTCATAATATTAATAGTGCAAAACCACTAATTGTCTTTTTCAAGTAGCAGAGTGTGTCTTGATTATTCCATTTAAAGTATTTAAATGAAACTCTTCCATTCTTTTCATCAGCTGCCCAGTTTCACTGTCTTTTTGTTTAAGATTGATTGGCTTTAAAAAGCATCTAATATGGTTTGGATTTGCTGTTCCCGCCCATACCTCATGTCGAATTCTAATACCCAATGTTAGAAGTTGGACCTGGTGAGAGGTAACTGGATCATGGGGCCAGATTAATCATGAATAGTTTAGCACCATCTTCTTGGTGCTATTCTTGTGATAGTGAGTGAGTTATCATGAGATCCGGTCATTTAAAAGTGTATAGCAAATCCCCCACTCTCTTGTTCCTGCTCCTGTTATGTAAGAAGTATCTGTTCCCGTCTCAAAAAAAAAAAAAGGAAAGAATGAAAAAAATATGGTAAGTACATAATCAGTGTGGTGTCAGAAAGTAGGAGACACAGGTGGAATTAATCTCCTGCTTCCCAGGGTTGGTCTGTCTTTCTATCTCTGTCTTTTTGTCTGTCTTACTGTCACAACACACACCCCACCTACACTGCTATCTTTACTATACCACTGGTTCACAGATGTTCTGGAGTGCAGTGGTGCAATCTCCCCTCACTGCAATCTCTGCCTTCCAGGTTCAAGCAATTCTCCTGCCTCAGCCATCCAAGTAGCTGGGATTACAGGCATGTGCCACCACGCTCAGCTAATTTTTGTATTTTTAGTAGACACAGGGTTTCACCATGCTGGCCAGGCTAGTTTGGAATTCCTGACCTCAGGTGATCCGCCAGCTTCGGCTTCCCCAAGTGAATACTTAATGAACATAAAAGTTAGTACTGCCCTTTTTCTTCTCACCCTAATGCCTGTGCTGGTCAGCCATGGAGCTTGTGGTGATTATATATGTTCCTCCTCCACTCTCTCAGAAATCCACAGAAGCCTGGCAAATGAACACACCTATATGAGTGACGCCTGCCATAATGAAATCAATACAGTTTTAATAAGTCTTAACATCAAAGTTCAAAAAAAAAAGTATCTGTTCCCTCTTCGCTTTCCATCATGATTGGAAGCTTCTTGAGACCTCCCCAGAAACAGAAGCTGCTATGCTTCCTGTACAGCCTGCAGAATTGTAAGCCGATTAAACCACTTTTTAAATAAATTACGCAGTCTCAGGACTTCATTACAGCAGTGAAAGAACAGACTAATACAGCACCTATCTTAGTTTCATTTTCTTAGAATTTTATTGTTATATCATCAAACCAAAGCTTATTTGTGTTTATTGTTTATTGCCCCAACTAAATTTTATGCTTAATATTTATTGTATGTTTACTATTTAACATGCTGTCATTATAGTAAATGACATTTTCTCTTTTTTATTATTTTACTCTTGACCCATCAAGTCATTTCTAAAAATTCTATTTTGCCTCCATTTCTAATATATGGTAGACATTTTATAATCAAAATGCCAAATTAAATGAAAGTAAACTTTTACTTCCAGGTCTCCAAATGACACTCCTTTGTGTGTTTAGTTAGAATAATTATATTCTAAGCTAAAATTATGTTTCTGAGCTAAAATTATGTTTTAATTTGTCTTATTTTTACATTTTTTTACCCTTAGATTCCAGCATGTTATATGGTTTCTTTAGATTTGACTGCAAATATCTCTGATTTTTGCTTACTTTTTTTGCATTTTTCCTCTCTATTTTGATCTTTTCTGATTTATTGTTATACTGAGTAGGTTTTTTTCCTCTCTATCATCTTCCTCATAAAATAAGGTGTGTGTGTGTGTTTTTTTAATCCTTCCATAACCAAAATAACTTTCTTTGTCCTTTTCATTTGTGGTATAATACCACAAATGACATCTTTAGGGAAACAATTATTTTTAGCTCAATAGGCAAAATTAACTAATTGGACAGTCTTCTGAGGGTAACATATTGTACAGGTGTAAAAAGCTTATTCTAGTTAGATTTGAGAAATAAGTGAGTAAAGATAGTATATTCAGGAAATATGAATAAAATAACAAGATCTTACACAGAAAAAAAAAAAACCCATAAAAAGACAAGGAGAAGGGAACAGACAGGCAGAATCATTGCCTCCTGTGTATTTCTCCTTTTCCCCTATGCCTAGTATTGGTTACATAAGCCAAGAACACAGAAGGAATGTTCAGTTACGACTTTAGGTGTGTTCTTTACTCTTCATGGCTCATCAAAAGAATAGTCTCAGATATATTACGTATGTACTTACACCAACTGCAGTTGACCAGTCATTCCATTTTCCAGATGAGAAAATTGAAGTTCAGAACTACTTAACAACGACTACTAAGTCACCCTGGTGAGTGGAAGATCAGCTACTCAAAGCAGCACTCTTCTTAGAAAAAGCAGCATTTAATATAAAGATAAACTTTGACTTCCACAAGGTCACATAATATAGTTTCAAACAATGATTCACTTTCCATCCTTTTTGCAGAACAAAGCCAACATTTGATGGGAACTCTCACGTTGCCCAGTGAGCTCAGTAGCTTACTGAATAGTTGGAAGTTTGGGGAAATCCTGTAACTAAAGGAAAGCAGGGATATGTAATATCAGATGAAATGGAAAAGTCTGCTTGAAACAAATTGTTTCAAAATATGAGAGGTCTGTTGGACTCTGCCTGTGGCTTGAAGAATTGCTTGAGGAAAAGCGTGGTGATGAAAAACGAGGTTAGTTCTTTCTTCAAGAAAGGCTCAACAAGTTCAAAACTGAAGTGAAGCCATTCTTACCAGAGAGGTTTCAATCAGGGAGTATGTCAGAGGTGCTTGGATGCAGTCCCTATTCCCACCATCCTTTTTTTCAGTAAAAGTCTTTTATGGATGATACAGATGCTGAGGAGAGGAGACTGGGGAACACTGTATCAAAAGGCTTCAAATGTCAATACACTTGTTATTCAAACTTTAAATCTTACTAGTTACAGTGCAACGCAGTATACTGCAGTAAAATATACACTCAGGAATAAATAAACAACCTTCATATAGGCATGCTGTTATTCCTATTTATTAGTAGTTCTATATAAAACTCCACCTGTATTGATATTTCACTATTTATATAACTCATTATACGTATACACACATGCAAAGTTCAAGTGGTACTGTGGCTTATCAAATGACTGCTTGACGTGGCTAAACAATAAATTTGTGAACTTGGGGGTGGGAGTCATACATTGGGACTTGGGGGAAGTGAAGCCTGATACCTAAGCAGAAGGTAAGTTTATCTCTGTGTTTTTGTTTTGTTTTCTGTTTGTTTTGTCTTGTCTTGTCTTGTTTTTAGTCGGATCACACTCATCCAGGAAATGTATCTTTTCTTGCAAAAGAAGGAATTAAGTATTCTACAAGACTAGAGAGCTCAGAGAGAATACTGAACAAAAACAGAGAGTGAAGGAAGTGAAGGTCAGCCACAACAAAAGTAGTAGCTTTTTGTCCCACAGAAGAAAGGAGCCATGAATTTTACACAACATAACTGTCTTAAATGTCAGTATGTTATGTACTAGAGAAAGCCTTAATAAAATGTGTTACTTAAACAAATAGGGATTAAAATGTTCAGGGACTGAGATCGAAACCCTAATATCAAACAGAAGTGGCCATGCTGATGGAGATTGCTACTGGACGAAAACACAGCCATTGTAGAAGACAGTGTGGTGATTCCTCAAGGATCTAGAACCAGAAATATCATTTGACCCAGCAATCCCATTACTGGGTATATACCCAAAGAATTATAAATCATTCTACTATAAAGACACATGCACACGTATGTTTATTGCAGCACTGTTCACAATAGCAAAGACTTGGAACCAACCCAAATGCCCATTAATAATAGACTAGATAAAGAAAATGTGGCACATATACACCATGGAATACTATGCAGCCATAAAATAGGATTAGTTTGTGTCCTTTGCAGGGACATGGATAAAGCTGGAAACCATCATTCTCAGCAAGCGAACACAAGTAGAGAAAACCAAACAACGCATGTTCTCACTCATAAGTGGGAGTTGAACAATGAGAACACATGGACGCAGAGAGGGGAACATCACACACCAGGGCCTGTTGGTGGGTGAGAGGCTAGGGGAGGGATAGCATTAGGAGAAATACCTAATGTAGATGACGGGTTGATGGGTGAAGCAAACCACCATGGCATGTGTACACCTATGTAACAAACCTGTATCTTCTGCACATGTATCCCAGAACTTAAAGTATAATAAAAAAATTTTTTTAATTATATGTGCTTAAAAAAAATAAACCACAGAGGCTGCAACAAAACCTGATTCATGTGCAAAATGACTAGGAGAAAAAAACACAGGTACATAATCAATATATATCACTTGGGCAATTAATTTTGCTAAGTCCCTCTACTGAGGGCTTGGACATTAAAATTAAACCAACTTTATATATAAATGATATATAGTTAATCTGTTTTTTGTGTGTGATATAATTACTGTTTTGTCTGTGTATACACGTCAACAATTACTGATATTATTGCAGTAGTTATTTCTTGTCATTGAAAATCACCTCCATTCTTCTATTCTACAAACACTTACTGAGCAATTATTAAATATTTTTTGGAAGCCAGATGCTAAATTCTATGCCAAGCAGACACTAATTTATCTTTTTTTAAGATTTCAATGCCTGGAATAGGAAAAGAAAGTAAGCTATATCCTTAAGGAGATGTTGCCTTAAAATATGTTCTGTCATAGTGGATTATATATTTATAGTATCAGAAAAAAACCTATTTTAAAGGTTAATGGGAGAATTTTCTCTCAAATTAGACACTCAAGAACTTAACTAAATTCCAGTTGCATACACATAGTAAAATCCATGAGTGATCTCTTTATACATTTTAAAATCCTAAATAAATGCTTGGCAAAGAATGCTACGCAGTCATTTTAATAAGATGATTCTAATACCTTGACTTCTTTTCATGGTGCCTAAATTCCAAATAAAAGCAAAACATTGCCACAAGCATATTAAGAGAAAACACTGCCTTTTAAACTGGCTCTGTGGCTTTAAACTGAGAAAAAAACCTATTCTCTAATATATGGTTTGACATATTTTTCTGCTTTGTGAAGCACTGAAAAGTAACAGAATCAAAGCATACATGGTGAGTTTTGCCTGTACTGTTGAGATTTGTTAAGACAAAATACTACTTATTAGAAATGAAGGAGAAATTAAAAACAACTTTTTGCGCCTGGTGCAGTGGCTCATGCCTGTAATCCCAGTACTTTGGGAAGCCCAGCGGGGCAGACCATTTGAGGTCAGTAGTTCAAGATCAGCCTGGCCAACATGGTTAAATCCCATCTCTACTAAACATACAAAAATTAGCCAGGCATGGTGGCATATGCCTGTAGTCTCAGCTACTCGGGAGGTTGAGGCAGGGGGATTGCTTGAACCTGGGAGGCAGAGGTTGCAGTGAGCCGAGATCACACCATTGCACTCCAGCCCTCCAGTCTGGGTGGCAGAGTGAGACTCTATCTCAAAAAAAGAAAAAAAAGGTTTTATGTTTAAACCAAGAGCAGTTAAACTAATGTATTGATCAGTTAACAGCATCAGTAAAACCAAGGGCACCAAACTCAAAAGAGAGACAAGTTGGGGATCATGGCATTAGAAAAGACTCATATAAATGGACAGAGCCAAAACAAAAGATGAGCTTATTGTTACAAAGATCTGCTTATTAGGGCATTGTGGCAGTGAGGAAGAGATAAGGACTAAGATGAAGAGTAGATACATTTGATCAGAAACTTAGCTGTAACATGGCAAAGTCTTGAAACTTGAACTTTATTTTATTACTGTTTCCACGTGAGTTTCTGGACATCCACTGGGGCACGTCAAATTACAAAAATGACTGACTACTACTGGATATTTAGCCAGTGGATCTGCTAGTAGAGAAGCCCTGTTACATGAAGAAAAATAAAAAAGCCCACAACTAAAACATCTAATAAAAGTAAATCTCCATGGATCAGTCACAATCATTTCTAATACACAAAAAATTGATGTATTAAGTGAAAGAGTTCAGGTAATGGATATGTCAGAAATTTACCATTTGATTCACTTGGAAATATTCCTGTCACCTTCTAACTAAAAATCCCAACTGATTTGTTATTTTGGAATGACAACACCATGCTGTATCTCTTGGTTTTAAATTAGGCTCCTATAATCCATGTCTGACTTGATTATTTTCTTACTGGATCAATAGAATAGAAGTAATTCTGGAGCAAATGTACTCTGTAGTCTGAATGTATGGAATTCAAAACATGTCTATTGAAAAATTTAGTTAGATTCAATATTTTTTGGTGGAGAAACTGGTTTGGAATTCAATATTATTAATATGAACTATTTATAATTTTGATTAGAATTTTTTCACATTCAGTTCATCCGTTTGAGTAAGATCAATTTCAAGGTACTATAAAACTGACTGAGCATTTCTTTAAAGGCTTGAATATGTATTCTCTTTCCTTCTAAATTTGGCTGTGCCATTTGGAGTTTTATACTTCATATTCTGTAAAATAAAATTGAAACATCTTTAGCCATCTGGTAGTTTTGTGGATAATTTAGCGTATATCCACTTGTGGCAGTTTCTTTCAAAGTAGTTCCTATTAAACACTGATCTTTAAGTATTGGAACTCTATTTGTAAATACAAACCCTTTGTAATTATCTATCTCCAGTTGTCCATAGGCTTTACTATAATTGAGGTAGCTACAGTCAATGAATACAAAATTTGAGATTCTTTCTCACTATGAAACTGCTGTTCCCTACATGTGATGGGTACAAGTGGTTAACCAGTAGATCCCTAGTTGCTGGAACCAAGGGGTGATTTGTGAGGAATACACAGAGATGGCTTTTTATCAGGTTGTACTTTGGTTAAATTTGCTTTTCCATTGTCAAAAGACTTTGCAGCCTTTGTAAACTCTTACAGCTCCTTGGTAACTCCGATGGTGAGTGAGACCTGAGTGAGAAACAACCTAGAAGGAGCTAGTGAGGCCATTCACAATGGATAGACAGTAAATTCACTGTGACATGTTTGATCATATCTAGAGTAGAAATTTTTTTAAAAGTGATGAGCAACAAAAAGCTTCTGAAATGTCAACCGAGGAATTACAGGGACCTATCATTTTTCCTAATGAATATAGAGAGAGTGATTGAAGCAAATGGCCATTTTATTGTCAATTGCTCTAGCAGTAGATCACATGGAGGAGTAGGGCATAACTTACAGGATAGTTATGACTGAAAATGAAGTTGAAATAAAATCCTCCAAGTGATATTAGGAATGGAAGACTTCTGCTTAGGAGCATGAATATGGACTTGATACCAGAACCACACTGCATATTCCTTGTAGTAAAAACAGCTATGTAAAAGATAAGGTATAGATATGCACTATATCTATATATCAACCTCCATATTGAATATCTATATATCTATAATATCTCCATATATATATAATGTTCACCTAGTCATCTTGATATATATGAATATTCATATATTCATATATATCATATATATATGAATATTCATATATTCATATATATCATATATATGAATATATATGAATATATATATATTCATGTTGAATATATATATTCAACATATATATTCATATATATAATGCTCACCTATACATTATATGTATATATATAATGCTCACCTATTCATCTGCAAACATGTCTCACCAGTAATCACTAGTGATATCACTAGCACTGTGATTATATTAATAGAGTGGAATATGTGTGTGTATGTGTGACTAAGGGTGTAAATGTCCAGTGACTATTATGACTATTGATTAAGTAATTGAAAGCTCAGAGTTTAGTTACCTGAATATCTCAGATCTTCTAGGAGTAGAACCAGCAGTTGAAAGCAGATGAATCCATGATTTTTCACGAATATACAGACTTTCTGATGTATGTATGTGTATGTGGAGGGGGGGAAGTAATCATATAAAGGCATACTTACCATTTTTGCATTTTTGTCTCGGATAGGTATAAATATAGGTATCTGTTGACCTTTGAACAACACTAGGGGTGGTACATTGTCTCCTGTGCAGCTGAAAATCCACTATAACTTCTGACTTACCCAAAACTTAACTACTAATAGCCTACTGTTGACTAGAAGACTTATCAATAACATTTAACAGTCAATTAACATATATTGTGTATGTTATATGTATTATATACATTATTGTACAATAAAGCAAGATAGCAAAAATCTAATGTTACTAAGAAAGTCATGAGGAAGACTATATATATATATGTAGAGTCTATAGAAGACTATATAGAAGACTATATATGTTTTATATATATGTATATACTATTCATTAAGTGAAGGTGATCATCATAAATATTTTTATACTCATTGTCTTCATGGCTAGTGGACTTAGGAGGAGGAGGAAGAGAAGGAGTTGGTCTTGCTTTCTCAGGAGCAGCGGAGGCAGCAGAAAATTCATGTATATGTGGATCCAGGCAGTTCAAACCTATGTTGTTCAAGGATCAACTGTATGTTTGTGTGTCTATATTTCTCCCGTATATATGCACTATACCTGTATATCAAGATCCATGTTGAACATCTATATATCTATATCTCCATATCTATATATGAAGCTCCATCTATTCATCTGCAAATATTTCTCATGAGTAATCACTAGTGAGATCACTAGCACTGTGATTATATCAATAGAGTGGAATATGTGTGTGTATGTGTGACTTAAGGGTGTAAATGTCCACTGACTATTATGACCTGTATATATTTATTTGCAATAATGATGAAGACCATTATATATGATTTAAGAAAAAAAACAAATAAAATACTCTAAATGCAAGCAGAAAAAAAATTATAAAACGAAAATGCAATTGGATTAGAAATCAGATGCCTGGGGTTCTTACTTTACTTGCCGGTTGCTAGAAAGATAAAAACAGAAAAAATATGGCAGTAACAAACCCTTACACATTTCCTGAATATTAATATACTACATTGTCACTCATTAAAAAACAATACTTGTAAACAATGGAAGATAACTATTTATAGGCATCGTGGCTTATACTGTTGTTTTGGGGAAACTAGTGCTTGGAATTACTATAAACATTCTTTTGTATATAGTAATGAGTGCAGGTTCAGTCCCTCACCGCTTGCAGAGTCTAATGAACAAGAGTGGCATACATTAGAAAGAAAGTGACTTTATTAACCAAAACTAGTAATGGGGAAGTAGCCAGATTCTCATCCAAATTAACCATATGTCCTGTTCTAGTGGCTATCTTGGGGTCCTATATGGACTTAGATCTCGGGCTAGCATCATTTCAACAATGTCCAGGTTGATGACTAGCCACACTGAAGTAATCTCAGGTATTTTACAGCCGAGTCTCTAGGCTTGTTCTGTCTGTCTCAAGATTAGCCCCTGGAACTTCTAGGAAGGCAAATAATTCGATACTAGCATACAGTCAGATAAATGTGAAGGAAGTATAAATGGTGAGAAAGGGAGGGATGTAGAATCTATTTTAAGCCTAAAGGAAAAGGCTTCTGCAGTTTACTTCAAGATTGTATGTTGAAACCCAAGAGAAAGGAAAAAACAAGTTTTAAAATGCATCGTGAAGTAAAGCTGCCCAGTTACATATACATAAATACAAAATTAAAATTATTTGTGTGTCTGTGTGTATGAGTATTCTTAGATATATTTACATATTGACACCAAATTTGCTTTTTAGGTAAAATACATCTCTATAAATTAGATATTTAATAGAATATTGCTATAAAGTATATTGATTTATAAATTTGCTAGAAAAGGCTCTTAGCTCTTGTATAAACAAAAAATATGGTTTGACAATTAGGCAAGTATATTTTTTAATACTTAATAAACTCCAGGTCCCCACATCTTTAGTTTATTAAGCATATCTGAATAAACTTAATTTCCTCTTATGGCAGTGTATAGGAAATATGCCATGAAATGGCAAATTGATAAATGTTCGTTACATTTATTTGTATGGATATCTAAATGAGAAAATTTTTGTATCCAAAAGAGGATACGATTACTTGAATACAGGGCGGTAAAATTCTAGAAATGAGTTGAGGTATAAATGTTTGTGTATGGTCTAATGATGCAACATTATATTAAAATATGTACAATCTGCCCAATCAAATAATTTGAAATTTGGGGGACTATGCACAATATCAAAGCAAAGTCATTAGATTTCCAAACCTAAAACTTGCTGAAAAAAATTACTCAAATTCATGCTTTAACCTTATTACTGCTGACCTTTGCCCACAGAGCCAAAACTCTGAATATCAAATCCTTGACTACTGAGAATACTATATTGAAAACTCCTTTGCATGCCAGTCCATTTTATTTCATGCATTTGAACTGGAAAGTTTCTGCTTTACCTGATTGAAATCTTGTCATCCTGCCTTTGTTCAGTTAATAGAGTTGAATAGTTTATTTGCCTTTCAATCTCCTGGAAAAAAAAAAAGACAGTTATCCTTTTAATGTTTTCCAGAACTTCTAGGGAAAATGCAGCTATATTTTTCCATAATTTTATACATGCCTTTTTTATAATACATCTCAACAAAACATGCTTCTCTGTTCTTCCTGGGAACATAAGTAGATACAATTTTTCAGGCTTTTTACAATTACACATAATAATATGAATTATTTCTACCAAATTAAATTTAAACACAAGTGATGTGTTCATGCTTGTGTTCTTTTGCATTTCTTTGTGCAAGAAATTCTTTAGCATTTCTCTGTAATCTTCTTTCCTTCTGGCTGAATGAAATCGGGACAATTATGGTAAAAATCATAATTATAAATTTAAGATGACAGAGCTACTGTCATTCTTGGTCCTTGAATAACTGTGTCCAGGAAAGTAGTCACCCCTGTCAAATAGTACAATTTTATTTTGACTGTGAAAGTTGAAACTATTTTTATATTTTATTTATTATACATCTTGTAGGTTATCTCTTACAGCAGCATGGATTATCCTATACAATAACAAAACTATTGGATCTCATTTTCATCTTATCCCCATTGTGGAATTTTTAGTCTGTAAAATATTCCTTAATAAAGGAGTAATCATATAGAAACAGTTGAACTATAAATTTCTGCAACTGAAGATGAAAAGTAGGTTTAATAGTATCCGATCATAAAGATGATCAACTAGTCCATCAGTGAATGCCACTTATGTTAGATATAGATTTGTATTTTACCTATATTTACCTGCATACCAGAGATGATATTTGCAATATCTTACAATTTAAAAACTTATCAGAGATACTTCAACATTTGGGTAGATAAAGTAGGTCACGGCAGGCCAGTGCTCCTCCTGCAAGAAATAGAAAAAATTGTATTAATTACAAATACACATGCACACACGCACACACACACATATATATGTTGTATATGTATATACACACGTGCAAACACACACACATAATTTGAAGGTACCATAGTGAAACAAGATAATCTTTAATTGTAGATGGAAGATATATAGTTTCACAGTGAAATAATGATCTTCTGTCTCTTTTTTCCCATTGTGTGGGCATTCTAACTAGTGAAATAAGTAAATTTAAAGGGTTATTAAAGTCTTACGAACTGAAACACAACTAAAGCACCTTTTAATCAGTGTGATTGGGTTTCTAAAAAATGTAAAATAATCTAAATAGATTATAACTTTTAATAAGTAAGTTTAGTAATGTTGCTGGATATAAGCTCTCTAAAAAAAACAATTTACTTCTATATACCAGCAACAAATAGTCCAATAACAAAAAAATAAAATATGATGCTATTTACAGTAACATTAAAAATGCAAATCCGTCTAGGATAGCACAGCCAAATACACCTTTTCCCTTTTGCCTCCTAATTTAGTAGATTAGTTTTCAGTAGTTTTAAACATTGATGTGAAATAATCTCAGCCTATAGGGAACAACATCAGCGGGCTTTGCTGACTTGCAAAATCTAATTTGTTATACAGATGAGAAAATTGGCAAAATCACAAAAATTATTATAAGCATGTTGCATTAACCATTTGATTTGGATGGCATAACCTTAGTATTTTACTATAATCGGAGAGGCAAAGTGTCAAATCAGAGTGCTCCCCAATTACTAGAACATCCATAGCAATTAATTTTATTTTTAATTTCAATTTTTATTTTAAATTCAGGGAGTCGTGTGCAAGTTCGTTATAAGGGTACATTGGATGATGCTGAGGCTTGGGGTGTGATTGAACCCATCACCTAGGTAATAAGCACAGTAGAAAATAGGTAGTTTTTCTAACCTTGTCCCCTGTTTCTCGTCCCCCCCCTTTGTTTTTTATAGTGATTAGTGTCTATTGTTTCCATCTTTATGTCCCCATGTACCCAAGGTTTAATTTCAATTTATATGAGAGAACAGGAGGTATATAGCTTTCTGATTCTGTGTTAGTTTACTTAGGATAATGACCTTCCAGTGCATCCATATTGCTGCAAAGGACCTAACTTAATTCTTTATTGTGACTTCATAGTACTCCATCGTATATATGCAGCATCTCACCCACTTGGTTCATTGTTGCCAAAGCTCACTGATTCCACATTTAAAATCTTGAATCCAATTTTATGATTTTTGATCAACATAGTTGAGATATACTTTACATAAAACAAATTGAAACATTTAAATTATCCAGTTTGATGAGTTTTGACAAATGTATGCACCATGTCACCACTACCCCAATAAATATATAGAATCGTTTTTTGCTCCAAAAAGTTATCTTTTGCCACTTTGCAGTCAATTCCACTACTGTCTTGCACTCCCCACTCCAGGCAGCCATTAATTTGATATCTATCATCATAAACTGATTTTGCTTGTTCTAGAACTTTCTATAAATGGAATCATAGAATACACATTTTTATTTATCTAGGTTCCTTTGCTCAGCAACTGTTTGTGACTCATCTCTGTTGTTGTGTGTATCATTAATTTGTTCCTTTTAAATTCAAATAGTGTTCTATTGTATGGAAGTACCACAATTTTTATTATTTATTCAGCTACTGATGATTTGTGTCCAGCTTACAGCTGTCAGAAATAAAGCTACTATGAATAATTCAAAAAATTAAATATTAAGAAAAATATCTGATAAAATACAAATATTTACCTCAGAAACTACACAACTTTCTTGGTAGAAGTAAAATATTTTAATAAACAAAGAGATATACCAAGTTCATGAATTACAAAACTTGATATTGTAAAAAGATTATTTATTTTCCCCCAAATAAATATACTTAACATGATTCTTCATCAAATCCCAACAAGCATTTGCTAAAATTTACCATCTAACTCTAAGTATATGGAAATGTCAAAGGCTATGACTAATCAAGGCAAATTACAAGAACAAAGTGGGAGATCAGACACTACCTGATATCCAGACTTATTATAAAATTACAGTATATAAGGCATTGTGGCATTGTTGTAATTGCTGTAAGCCTAAATACACTGAGCATTGGAATAAAATTGAATCCCAAAGAGAAGCACATACATGATTAATTAATTTACAACTAAGACAACAGTACAGTGCAATGAGAAAAGGATAGTACTTTCAATAAATTTTCTGGAAGTATCATTGGGCATCCATATAAAAAATGAATCATGTTCCATACCTTGCACCATCCATAGTAATACATTCCATATATAGTTAACATGTAAACATTAGAATTAAAACTAAAAAGCTTTTAGAGGACAAAATCATTGTGAACTTGAAGTAGACAAATATTTTGAAAACAGGAGAAGAAAAGCACTTTTTCTAATTAAAAAAAGCAGATAGAGTATACTGAAAATAAGCACTTCAGACTATGACAATAATATTCAAGTAGTGAGATGCAAGCCACACAATGGAAGGCAATCTTTATAATAGCCATATTTAGTATAAAGAACATGCATAAATCACTTTTATAAACCAGATAAACCAATGGAAACCTGGCAAAATTTTAAACTTTTGAAACTGCACATAAGAGAATGTGGAGATGGCCAGCAAACATGAAAAAATGTTTGACTTCATTAGCTGCCAGAGAAATGCAAATTTTTCCCAAAATGCGATACATCTACATCCTCTCCAGAATTATTAAAATGTAAAAAGATGAAAAGCACTAAACGTTGGCAAGGTGGTAGAGCTACCGGAATTACCATAGTGTCAGAGTATAAATTTGTTTAAAATAAAATTCTACACCTATGATAATGTAAACCAAGCCAACTAGACTCTTTGAAATGTTCTTTGGCAATATTTACTATGGTAAAGTTAAAATTATATATGTATATGTGTATATATATATATGCATGCACGTGTGTGTGTGTGTGTGTGTGTGCGTGTGTGTGTGTGTATGCCTGAGGGCCAATTGATTCTACTCTGGATTTATACCTCATAAAATTAAGTTCAGATGTTTACCAAAAACAGGTACTATAATGTTCACATCAGTAGTATTGCCATAGCTTTAAATTGAAAACTTCTCATATTCTAACAAAAGTAGAATGGAAACAAATGTGGCATATTCACAAAGGAGAATATATAGTACTGAGTATGAGTTATCTGCAACTACAATGACGATATGAATCTTTCAAACATAATAGTAATCAAAAATTAACAATGTGTATAAACAAGTACATAACTTCTTTGATTCAAAAATACACATTAGGAAAAACTAATCTATGCTGATAGAAGTCAGGAAAACGGTTACCCTTGAGAAATAGTATCGACTGGACAGGAAATCAAAAGGCATTCTAGAGTGTTAATGGGTCTGTTTATCGATCTGGCTCCTAAGTATTTAAATATGTTCAATTTTTAATACCTCATTTAATTATACATTGGGATACATGTAATTTGTGAGTGCTTACTACAATCTAATATAAAGCATACAATTATTATGATAGGTTATTTAACTGAATTATTTAAGTAAATCATAAAATGATGTTATAACTTGGTTATTATAATTAAAAATACTATATCCCAGTAAGCCGACACAGGCAACAGGCAGAAAATGAGAAGTAGAACACAGCTATTGTGATTTACTATCCAGTTATATTTTAAAAATAGTATTCCTCTCTTTTTACTTGGAAGATTCATTTTTTTTGCCGTTGTTAAAAGGCTTTTTGTCTGACAATTACTGTTTTTAAATATTCAAGGTTTAACTCCTTGTCGTATCTGAAAATCAAGGAAATATCAACATATATTCTCTCTGCTCTAGAGAAATCTGCATTTTACCCAGTTTCTGTAAAGTGTGTGATATCTTACCTTATTTGAAAGGTCACCATTTAGCCCACCACCGTTTTATATATTCTGGAAGAAGATTCTGGAGTTGGAGACACAGGACTTTATTCTTCATGGCATAGCAAGAAGCATGAGCTTCATTCACATTGGCTCATCTTTCCCCAAGTCCTGCGGGGAGCAATACAGAATGGTCCTGGAGGAAGCTGTCTACACACAATTAACTTGTGTCACAACCAAGGTACCTTGAGTTAGAAAAGCCTTAGTGTTATAAAGGAACTGTTGGCAAACCTGCTCAAACGTTGCCTTCAATGTGTTATTGTCTCCATTACTCTGGACAGCAAAATACCTTCTACTCCAGACATGCATTATCTCCATCTTCCTAGGCTGACTGCTATAGAAATACACTTGAAGGCCAGGCACAGTGGCTCACGCCTGTAATCCCAGCACTTTGAGAGGCCGAGGCGGGCGGATCACGAGGTCTGGAGATCGAGACCATCCTGGCTAATACGGTGAAACCCCGTCTCTACTAAAAATACAAAAAATAAATAAATAAATTTGCCTGGCGTGGTGGCGGACGCCTATAGTCCCAGCTACTCGGGAGGCTGAGGCAGGAGAATGGCGTGAACCCGGGAGGCGGAGCTTGCAGTAAGCGGAGATATTGCCGCTGCACTCCAGCCTGGGTGACAGAGACAGACTCCGTCTCAAAAAAAAAAAAAAAAAAAAAAAAAAAAAAGAAAGAAGAAATACCCTTGAAAAGAAAGCTAGAAATAAAATAAAGTCAGTTCCTCTGCCTGAAAATTGAGCATAAATGCAAAAGATGCATATGGGAAATGGCATCCAAAGAGATTTATCTGAAATAGAAATAAAATATGAGTAAATTTTACCAAATTATCTTGAAAAATGAACAACAATATGACACAACTATTTCAGAGAATAGAAAATGCTGTAACACTTGCTAATTCATTTTTTGGAATTTGGCATAGCTTTGAAATCAAAATCTGGCAAGGGCATTATAAGAAAGGAAAATTACAGGTCAACATCACTCATGAACATATACATTTATACCTTAATTGAATCTTGGCAAAACAAACCCAATGATATATAAAAAAGGTGCATCACAGCCAATTTACATGCATTCCAGAAAAGCAAAGCTGATTTAACATTCAAAATTCAGTGTAGTTCAACACATTGTCATAATAAAATAGAAACATTATGTGTGCCCAAGATATGCAGAAAAAGCTCTTGATAAATTTGAATATCTATTCCTCTCAGTGCTGATGTCAGAGATGTACACTCTTTCATAGTGCAGAAATAACTTGAGCCAGAAGGGTTTAGGTAGGAGGAAGGACAGCATTATTAACTTTTCAAATCCTTCTCAGATATCTTATTTGCCATTGGTTATTTCATAATTGAGTATGTTCCAATAGTGCTTAATATTTATCAACTTTCTTTTCTTTTCTCTCTAATTTGTGGTTCCAGACATAGATCTAGATATAGCAAAGATTAAGTGGGATAAAATTCTTTACATGGGTAACTAGATAGAACTGTAAATTGTAAAAATTTCACTAGATCTAAACATTTAATAAAATTTAAATTTTACATTTTAAATACTGAATAAAATAACCTTTATTCAAATAGTTTATATTTTTATATTTATTAAGCACAATGCATACATGTTTTAAAACTTATGCAAACTTTGAATGTCTTAAAAAATCTTTGTTACAAATGAAAATATATTTTACTTTAACATTCTGTTTATTAAAACTATATATAAATTTAGAGTACTGTGAATAAATTTTTTATCTTTTTGATATTTTAAAATGAGTAAGAGTTAAGATTATTTTTGTCTACTTTCAATTATATAAGACACTTTAAAAACAATTCTGTCTCTCTGAAGGCATATTTGTCAAAGATTTTATTTGTTTGTTGAATCTATTTTTTTAAATCAATACATAGATTATGGCAGGTGTGATCCTGATTTTTCTCTTGATGTAAGGCCCACAAGTGTTATGGGAAGGCTTGTTCTTTCTTCCTCAGTTGTCCCTTTCCTTATTCCATGACACATTAGTAGCTGCTAAGCCAAGATAGAGGGGCTTAAGGCCCCATGCAACTTATAAATACATCCAGCAGCCTGACCAGTGAACCGTTTTTAAAAAAAATTCTTTATTAAATTTTATTTTTATTTTAATAATTTTTGGGGTACAGGCCATTTTTGGTTACTAGTATGGTTTGGCTGTGTCCCCACCCAAATCTCATCTTGAATTGTAGCTTCCACAATTTCCACATGTCATGGGAGGGACCTAGTGAGAGGTAATCAAATCATGGGGGCGGGTCTTTCCCATACTGCTCTTGTGATAATGAATAAGTCTCACTTGAGATCTGAAGGTTTTATAAGGGGGAGTTTCCCTGCACAAGCTATCTCATTTTCTCTTGCTTGCCATTATGAAAGACGTGACTTTCACCTTCCACCATGATTCTGAGGCCTGCATGGCCACGTGGAACTGTGAGTCCATTAAATTTTTTTTGCTTTTCTTTTTGATATTTTAAAATGAGTAAGAGTTAAGATACCCATTCTTAGGTATCTCTTTATAAGCAGTGTGAAAACGGACTAATATAGTTACATAAATATATTCTTTTCTTTTTCTTTTTTTTTTGAGACAGGGTCTTCCTCTGTCACTCAGGCTGACACAAGCTTGGCTCATTCAACCTCCACCTCCTAGGATCAAACAATCTTCCCATCTCAGTCCCTGAGTAGCTAGGACCTCAGCTGCATGCCACCACACCTAATTTTTTTTTTTTTTTGGTGTGCTTTTTTTTGTTTTTTGTTTTTTGTTTTTTAGAGATGGGTTTCACCATGGCTAGGCTGGTCTCAAACTCCTGAACTCAAGTGGTCAGCCCGCCTTGGCCTCCCAAAGTGCTTGGAATTACATGTGTGAGCCACCATTCCCAGCAAGGATAAGTTCTTTAGTGATGATTTCTGAGATATTAATGTACTCGTCACCTAAGCAGTGTACACTGTACCCAATATATAGTCTTTTATCCCTCACCCCCTCAACCATCCCCCTTCAGTCCCTGAAGTCCATCGTTCTTATGCCTTTGCATCCTTACAGCTAAGCTCCCACTTATAAATGAGAACATACCACATGTGATTTACCACTCCTGAGTTACTTGGCTTAGAATAATGGCCTTGAGCTCCATCCAAGTCACTGCAAAAGGTATTATTTAGTTCCTTTTTATGGCTGAGTAGTATTCCATGGTGTATATATACCACATTTTGTTTTTGTTTGTTTGTTTGTTTTCGAGACAGAGTCTGGCTTTGTCACCAGGCTGGAGTGCTGTGGCGCAATCTCGGCTAACTGCAACCTCTGCTTCCCAGGTTCCAGCGATTCTCCTGCCTCAGCCTCCCAAGTAGCTGGGACTACAGACGTGCACCACCATTCCTGGCTAATTTTTTTTGTATTTTAGTAGAGATGAAGTTTCACCATCTTGGCCAGGATGGTCTCTGTCTCCTGGCCTCGTGATCCACCTGCCTCGACCTCCAAAAGTGTTGGGATTACAGGCGTGAGCCACCACGCCCGGCCATTTTCTTTATCTGCTCATTGGTGGATGAGTATTTAGGTTGTTTCCATATCTTTTTTTTTTTTTTTTTGAGACGGAGTCTCACTCTGTCGCCCAGTGGCGTGATCTTGGCTCACTGCAAGCTCCGCCATATCTTTGCAATTACGAATTGTGCTGCTCTGAACGTGTATGTGCATGTGTCTTGTGCATATAAGATTTCTTTTCCTTTGAGTAGATGTCCAGTAGTGGAACTGCTGTATTGAAATGTAGATCTTCTTTTTGATTCTTAATGAATCTCCACACTGTTTTCCATAGTGGTTGTACTAGATTATATTCCTGTCAGCAGTGTGAAAGTGTTCCCTTTTCACCACATACATGCCGACATCTACTGTTTTTCAACTTTTTAATTATGGCCATTCTTGCAGGAGTTAAGTGGTATCTCATTGAGGTTTAAATTTGCATTTCTCTGATAATTGGTGATGTTGGCCCTCTTTCATATGTTTCTTGGCTATTTGTATTTCATCTTTTGAGAATTATCTATTCTCGTCCTTTGCCCACTTTTTGATAGGATTATTTGTTTTTCTCTTGCTGATTTGTTTGAGTTCCTTGTAGATTCTGGATATTAGTCCTTTGTTAGATGCATAGTTTGCAAATATTTTCTCCCACTTTGTGGGTTGTCTGTTTATTCTGCTGATTATTTCTTTTGCTGTGCAGAAGCTTTTTAGTTTAATGAGGTCCCATTTATTTATTTTTGGTTTTGCTGCATTTGTTTGTGGAATCTCAGTCATGAATTCTCTGCCTAAGCCAATGTCTAGAAGAGCTTTTCTGATGTTTAGTCTAGAACTTTTTTTTTTTTTTTGAAACCAAGTCTCACCTTGTCACCAGGCCAAAGTGCAGTGGCGTGATCTCGGCTCACTGCAACCTCTGCCTCCCAGGTTCAAGTGATTCTCCTGCCTCAGCCTCCCGAGTAGCTGGGACTACAGGGATATGCCACCATGCCCAGCTAATTTTTGTATTTTTAGTAGAGACGGGGTTTCTCCATGTTGGCCAGGATGTTCTCAATCTCTTGACTTCATGATCCTCCCTCCTTGGCCTCCCCAAGTGCTGGGAATTCAGGCATAAGCCACCATGCCTGGCCGTATTCTAGAATTTTTATGGTTTCAGGTCTTAGATTTAGGTCTTTGATCAATCTCAAGTTGATTTTTGGATAAGAAGAGGGATGAGGATCCAGTTTCATTCTTCTACATGTCCTTGCCAGTTTTCCCAGCACCATTTATTAAAGGGGTTATCTTTTCCCCACTTTATGTTTTTGTATGCTTTGTCAAAAATCAGTTAGCTATTAGTATTTGGCTTTATTTCTGAGTCCTCTCTTTTGTCCCATTAGTCAACATGCCTATATTTATACCAGTACCATCTTGTGTTTTTAACTATAGCCTTGTAGTATAATTTGAAGTTGGGTAATGTGATGCCTCTAGATTTGTTCTTTTCAATTAGTATTACTTTGGCTATGTGGGCTCTTGTTTGGTTCCATATGAATTTTAGAATTTTTTTTTCTAGTTCAGTGAAGAATCATGATAATATTTTAACAGGAATTGCGTTGAATCAGTAGATTGCTTTGGGCAGTATGGTCATTTTCACAATATTGATACTTTCCATTCACGAACATGGGATGTGTTTCCATTTGTGTCATCTATTATTTCTTTGAACACTGTTTAGTAGTTTTCCTTACAGCGATCTTTCAAACCTTGGCTAAGTATATTTCTAAAGAAGTATATTTAGAAATTTGAGTTCTTGATTTGATTCTCAGCATGGTTATTGTTGTATAGCAGTACTACTAATTTGTGTACATTGATTTTGTATCCTGAGACTTTACTTAACTTGTTTATCAGAATTAGGAGCTTCTTAGATGAGTCTTTATAGTTTTCTAGGTATATGATCATACCATCAGTGAACAATGACAGTTTGACTTTCTCTGTCAATTTGGATACCCTTTTTTTTCTTTCCCTTGTCTGACTGCTCCGGCCAGAGCTTCTAGCACTATGTTGAATAGAAGTGGGGAACGTGGGCATCTTTGTCTTGTTTCAGTTCTCAGGGAGAATGTTTTCAACTTTTCCCCATGCAGTATGATGTTGACTGTGTGTTTGTCATACATGGTTTTTATTACTTTGACGTAAGTCTATTCTGTCTATTTTGTTATGGTTTTTAATCATAAAGCAATGCTGCATTTTTTTATTTTTTTATTTTTATTTATTTATTTATTTTTTGAGACGGAGTCTCACTCTGCTGCCCAGGCTGGAGTGCAGTGGGGCGATCTCGACTCACTGCAAGCTCCCCCTCCCGGGTTCACACCATTCTTCTGCCTCAGCCTCCCGAGTAGCTGGGACTACAGGCGCCCACCACGAAGCCCAGCTAATTTTTTGTATTTTTAGTAGAGACGGGGTTTCACCGTGTTAGCCAGGATGGTCTCGATCTCCTGACTTCGTGATCCACCCACCTCGGCCTCCCAAAGTACTCGGATTACAGGCGTGAGCCACCGCGCCCGGCCAATGCTGGATTTTAACAAATGATTTTTCTGCATCATATAGTTTTTGTTTTTAATTTTGTTCACTTAATGTATCTCATTTATTGACTTTCATGCATTAAACCATTCCTACATCCCTGGTATGAAACCCACTTGATCATGATGTATATTATCTTTTGGAGATGCTGTTGGAATCAGATTCAGTTAGCTAATATTTCTTTGAGGATTTATGCATCTATGTTCATCAAAGACATTGGTCTGTAGGTTTCTTTTTAGTTCTTGTTGTTATGTCCTTTCCTAATTTTGGTATGAGGGTGATGCTGGCTTGTTAGAATGATTTAGGGAGGATTCCCACTTTTCCTATCGTTTGGAACAGTTTCAGTAGGATTAGTACCAATTCTTCTTTCAATATCTGATAGAATTCATCTATAAATCTGTCAGATCCTGCCTGGGCTTTGTTTTGTTGGCAATTTTTAAAATTGCTGACTTAATTTTGGTGCTTGCTATTGGTCTGTTCTGGGTATTTATTTCTTCCTGATTCAATATAGGAGGTTGTATATTCCCTGGGCTTTGTTTTGTTGGCAATTTTTTAAATTGCTGACTTAATTTTGCTGCTTGTTATTGGTCTGTTCTGGGTATTTATTTCTTCCTGATTCAATATAGGGTTGTACATTCCCAGGAATTTATCCATCTTCTCTAGATTTTCCAGTTTGTGCGTATAAAGGTGTTCATAGTGGCCTTGGATGATTTTTCATATTTCTGTAATATCAATTGTAATGTCTCCCATTTTCATTCTAATTGAGCTTATTTTGATCTTCTCTCTTCTTTTCTTAGTTAAACTCATTAACAGTTTATCAATTTTATTTATCATTTCAAAGAACCAGCTTGTTGTGTCATTTATCTTTTTGTTTGTTTGTTTCAATCTCATTCAGTTTTGCTCTGATTTTTGTTATTTCTTTTATTCTGGTTAGTTTGGCTTTAGATTGTTCTTATTTCTCTAGTTCCTTGAGGTGTGACATAAAGTTTTCAATTTGTGCTCTTTCAGACTTTTTGACATAGGCAGTTAATGCTGTGAACTTCCTTTTAGCACCACTTCTGCTGTTTCCCAGATTTTTTTGATAACTTAATCAGTATTTGTTTATTACTCTTCATTTCAAATAATTTTTAAATTTACATTTTAAAATCATTATCAACTCAAAATTCATTCAAGAACAGATTATTTAATTTCCATATATTTGTGTAGTTTTGAGCATTCCTTTTGGAATTGGTTTCCAGTTTTATTCCACTGTGGTCTAAGGAGATAGGGTTTAGATCCAGGCACAGCCTGTACATAGAGTTCTGACCTGCCCCAGGCCATCAACTTCCCCACAGGGACAGCAAGCAGGGATCTCTGTGTCTGCCAGCAAGCCTGGGCACCCAGCTCCTGCGCTCATTCATGTTTGCAGCACACTTCCCACTTGCCCTCGATTCTGTTCAAGGGAGTTTGTCTCCACTTGTGGTTTGGCCCTGTGTCCCCACCCAAATATCATCTCAAATTGTAATCCTCCTGTGTTGAGGGAGGGTCCTGTAATCCCCACGTGTCGAGGGAGAGAGGTGATGGAATCATGTGAGCGGTTTCCCCATGCTGTTCTTGTGATAGTGAGTTCTCATGAGTTCCGATGGTTTTACTAGTGTTTGGAAGTTTCTTCTTTTCACTTCTCTTACCTGCTGCCATGTGAAGAGGGTCCTTGCTTTCAATTTCCCTTCTGCCATGATTGTAAGTTTCCTGAGGCTTTCCCAGCCATGTGGAAATATGAGTTAATGAAACCTCTTTTTTCAGTAAATTACCCAATCTCAGGCAGTTTTTTATAGTAATGTGAGAATGGGCTAATTCACTACTCAAAATTATATCACAAAATTCAGCTGGGAGCTTCTTTCACCCTGCAACCCCTCCCTAAGCTTGTTGGCTGACTTCCTCAAAGACTGTTGTGAGACATAGTCAGGAATGGTTTCCCTGGACTCTTGCTGGAGGCTGGGAATGCCTACAAGGCACTTCCTGCTGCTGCTTCTACTTTTATATTTCAAGATGCCCTCTAAATTCAACCCAGCTGTGGGTAGGTTGTTATGGCCTTCTCCTGTGCTCTGGATTTTCAGATTCCTTGGTGAGGATGTGTGCTCAGAGGTAGGCTCATCCCATCTCACTCTCTGGAAACTTAAGAGTTTTCTGCCTTTCTCACAGAGCAGGCTGTAGCCTGCTGCTTCTTTCAAAGGGTCTGTGAATTCTTTCTTAGGCTTTGTCTGAAAGAAAGTCACAGTAGTTCCCTTGTTAGTGGAAACATTTCATTTAGTACATCTCAATCTCTTATGATGGTTTTTTTCTCTGTAAGTGTTTCCACAGGGATTCTGTAAGCTACAGTAAGGGTGACCTAAATTCCAATTTTCCAAAAGCAGTCCTAGTTTGCACCTACTATTTTCACACAATTAATAATAGTGTTGCCATTTTCTCTGAAAAGTGTTCAGTTTGAATGATTACTTATACAGCTCTTTTAAATAGGAGACACTATATTCATAAGTGCTTCATCAACATTTTCATTCTAGGTGGTTTCCTTTATATGTGGTAACTTCATATGAACATGCACATGAGTATCATAAATATTAAGCTCATGATTAAGTTTTGGGAGGGTTGTCCTATATGGGGAAGAAGTCTTTATTGAGTCAATTACATAGAATCCAATGGCTTGCCTATTCTGTTATTCTTTTTTTATTTTCTTGTATGTTTATTTTTATTCATGTAACATGCAGACACCTTATGATTTTATAGTACTTTGTAATTTACAAAGCATTTTCCCACTCATTAGGTCTCTTGGTCCTCCAAGTAATACTATTGGTAGGCACCATTACAGATATGAATATCAAGTTGTCCGAAGACTGAGACTTTTGCCCAAGATGTGAAATGACTCATCTGGCTTTAATATCTGTCCATATATTAACTTCTCTTCTCTCACAGCAGACTCTGCCATTTTGGCTGCCAGAACCCAACTACCTCTTTTTTAAGTAATCAAATATAATACTTCATCTGGGAAACATTTCATCTATTCCCTCTTCTTCTCTCAATCCATGTGCTCCAAGTAGAATTAATTCCATCTCTAGTTCATGACTCAGGCCTGCCTACTGAGTGTCACATTCCCTTGGGATACGTGAGTAACCCAATGAGGACTAATAAGATGCTATTCTACGTGGTTGGATCTGCTGAAGGAAAGAGGTAGTCTTTTTTCCGCTACATTTGAGCCTCAGAAGATGGAGTCCTGGTGGTACTAGCAGCCATCATATGGAAGCTGATATTGAAACCAACTATGAAGGAGAGAAGAGCTGAGGGATGGAGGACAACCAGATCCAGGTGGAATTTTATGAGTCCCTGGATCAAAACACCTATGAAAAGTGACCCTCTATCTTTTCAGTTCAGTAAACAATGTATTTCTTTTTTTTTTTCTTAAGCTGAATTGGGTTTTCTCTCTCTTATCTTAACTGATGTATCACCCAAAACATTTGTTGTGTCCCACCCCAAGATATTCCCAATGACAAAGAAGATGAACTTCTCATACAGAAGATTAGGACACAGAAGGTCACTCAGCCAGAACTCTTAAGTATTCTATCACCAGGTTCTTAGCTCTTTTCTCTGGCATCATGGTGCCTTCCTCTGTGCCTTTGCTCATGGTATTTTCTTAGCTTTCCTAATATGATCTCTCTCTTCCTTTCCTGCGTAAGTAAATTCACTCAAGCTCTACTCACAAACCTAGGTTTGCCTTTTTCCCTCCTCTGAAATCCCAGAGCATATTATCTACATAGATAATCCTGGTATGTTATTACACAGACTTTTGTTGTTGTTCTTGTTCGTAATTTCGGATACCTTATGTTTCTAAACAGATCATTCACAGATCTTGCCCATAGTACAAACCATCCTGAAATGGACTGATCACTTTTTAAAAAGAATAACAGATTCTAAACAGATTCTAAACAGAATCTGTTTAGAAGGTAAGATATTTGTGAGCATTTTTAGTGCTATAAACTATCTACAATTTTTTTACGATCAGAGTGTATAGCTGTAGCATTTATTTGGTTCATGTGTCCTAACTAAGACATGAGTCATGTCAATAGTGACTTAAATTATTTTTTTCAGATATCAAATCTTAAGTAGAGATCCACATTGAGACAGAAGTGTAGGTGCAGCCAAAAGCAGAACTGTTCAGATGAGTTGACAGCTTTGCTTGTGAAATTGGTCAAGACCTCAAATATCAAGTGTGGTCCATGATGAGAAATGCCATTTCCATTTATCAAAGGAACTTTCTGATGATCATAGAACCATTATGGGAAATGACTGTCATTTGGCAAAGTCATCAATCCCTTTTTAATGAAACAATTTGATTCACTATTCTCCAGTAATGAACTAGCAGTTGTTCTTTACCATCAGGCAGAAGAACTCAAGTTCAAAAGTCAGAGGCTACACATATTTGTTTTATTCTTGTGCTCAGTGGTTCCAATGAGCTCTGCCATTTTCACAGATACATCACATTCTACTGCTTCTGAAAAAGAGAGGAGTCCCAGGACAGAACTTGTTTTCCTGCTTCCTAAACTTTTTCCAAGGATTCTTGCTGTAAAGCTCTCCATTCAAATTTGACTGTTTGATAAAAATACTTTAGTTACCTCTCTAGATGTGACATGCAATGTCTCTAATATACCAAAAAAAGAAAATAAATCAAAAGCTAAGGATTTCTTTTTTGCCTTGTTATGCACAGAACCAGTTTAGTGGTTTATGGAATGTCTTTGTTGAGTGTAACCCAGTTAGTCCTCAAGAGAAAATTACATTTTTTTCTTTCCATTGCCATCCAGCTTTTGTCAACTAATTTGATGTAGTATGCAAAGCCATCCTAGTTTTCTCAGTGGGGTCTCTTGTTATAATGTAGTCAATATAACAGAATGCTTTAAACCTACAAATACTTCTATTAGAAGGATTTGGGTTATGTAGAATAAATGTCTCAGGTTGTATATTGTGAATTTTATCTATTAATTCTTTGGTGTTACAGCTATTGTGATATCTATTTTTATTTTATAGCTCATTTATATACTTTTAATATGCATCTATTATAAATGTTTAGTTTTCCTATTGAGATTTAAATAATCACTTAAAATTTTCATAATCTCTATTATGTTTGCATTTAATTCTAAAATAAGCAGTGCCTTATCTGAAAAGATTGTTGATTCTTGATTGTGTATTTTAAAATGGTCTTGAAATTTTCTCTTTGTTGGCTTAGTTTTCTTTCTTTTTTTTTTTTTGTTTTTTTCATAGTGTACTTAAAGGGAAGAGGCTATGGTGGATTGATGGGATTGGGGGTTATTCAGTCTGTTTTTTGTAAGAGTGGATAAAAGTAAGAACTCCTGCCTCCTTGATGATTCAGTATCAGTCCTAGCTACGGATGCTTCCTATCACTTATGGCTATTATCAGATTCCCAGGGAACTGCCTTTTTTTTTTTTTCTGACCCAGGCTTGTATATTCAGGGTTTGATCTAGAGGTAACTGTGGGAATTTCTGTCCAATGCAAAGGTGGCTGTGTGGAGCTTCATGGGACACTACTCTGACTTTCCTAATGAGTCCTCTCCAGATGTCAGAATCTTTCATCCTAATTTGTAAAGCATTGTTGGTCAAGTCCACTGCTTCTAGCACAGCTTTGCCTATGTCTAGACTGTGTTGAGTTCAATTTATTTAATCACATCTTGCCTATTACTCTTATATGATCATTTATACTATTATCTAAGGTCATTTTTCCTTCTTATATTCTAGTACAATTATAAATTAATAATAGTATTCTAGGCATTTCAAAGATCTAGGGCTGAAGTTAAATTTATAGATTGTATTTAGCCTATCCTTTTGAAAAATTAGCTTTTGAGGTTCTTCTTTTGAGGTTAATCCTATGATAGGAAGTTGTTTGTGTATGTGAGAATATATATGTGTATGTGTTTGTGTTTGTATGTGTGTGTGCCACTTAAAAAATTATCCTGTTCTTTGTTTTACCCAGTGTTTCTATCTCTATTGTTCAGAGGCTCAAATTTGTCTTTTTCTTTATTCTCCTGTTGCCTTGTATTGTCATTTATTGTATCTATGCTTTCTCACAATTTTTTTTTTTTTTTTTTTTTGAGACAAGAGTCTTGCTCTGTTGCCCAGACTGGAGTGCAGTACCGTGATCTCGGCTCACTGCAGCCTCTGCCTCCAGGGTTCAAGCAATGCTCACACTTCAGCCTGTCAAGTAGCTTGGACCACAGGCATGGCCACCATGCCTGGCTAATGTTTGTATTTTTAGTAGCTACTGAGTTTTGCCATGTTGGCCAGGCTGGTCTTGAACTTCTGACCTCAAATGATTCTCCCACCTTGGCCTCCCAAAGTGCCGGGATTACAGACATGAGCCACCACTCCCGACCTTATTTTCACAATTTAAAAATTACTTTTCTTAAGTTTCTTTTAGTGATAAGGGAGCTTTCTCTTGAGTTTGGAGACCACTGCTCTAGACAAACGTTTTCCAACAACAAAAATAAATAAATAAAAATTAAAAAAATAAAAATTACTTTTCAGCCGGGCGCGGTGGCTCACGCCTGTAATCCTAGCACTTCGGGAGACCCAGACAGGCAGATTTCCTGAGCTCAGGAGTTTGAGACCAGCCTGGGCAACATAGTGAAACACTGTCTCTACTAAAATATGAAAAATCAGCCAGGCGTGGTGGTAGGTGCCTGTAATCCAGCTATTCAGGAGGTTGAAGCATGAGAATTGTTTGAACCCAGGAGGCAGAGGTTGCAGTGAGCCAAGATCTTACCAAGGCACTCAGCCTGGGCAACAAAGCCAAACTCTGTCTCAAAAAAAGAAAAAAAAATTACTTTTTTTTCTGTTCTAAATTATGAAACATTTCCTTAATGTTATCATGTATGTAACTGTTTTATTTATTATTCATATAGATTCTAATATGTGCTTTTAGGGTAATTTTAGGTTTTCTAATTTAACTAGTCATATGTATTTGTAGTAACTTTCTTTTTATTAGATGGCTTCCTTTTTCATAGAAACATGTACTTGTTTAATATTTTAAATTACATAGTGCTTACCATCATTTGAATATCTTTGGAGCCCATCTAATTATAATCTATTAAGGTTTTTTGGTAACTAAATTATTTATATTTAACCTTAAGTAAGATTTTCTGAAGGTTAATTTTGTCTCATTTTGTGTTGTTATATTTCTTAAATATATAATAATCCTTAGTGATTATCAGTTCATTAGTACAGGAAGCTGACAAGGTTTCCTCTGCACATGTGCAAGTCTACCTACTAAATAAACTTCTTTGTCCTACGAGAGGTTTGCAGTACAGCCATTTTGAAGTTCAAGCTTTGAAAAAAAATGCAAGGGCAAGGACCAGAGAAGAAGGCTAGGTGGAGACCTTTTACACCCATCAAAGTAAAGAAAGTTTAGTTTGATTGAGTCTTTGATTTTTACCTTCTCTTACTTCCCACACGTCTATTGGGAGGTCAAGAGTTGTCTCAATCTCTGCTCTATTTCAATATTTTTCTCCATTAAAAACAAGAGCCTTTTCTGAGAAGTTTATTCGCTTTGGAAAATAGTTCTCCAAACTTTTAGCAAGAGAAAAGACTGGCACTTCCTCTATATCTAGTAGACCCGCTATCCCAAATACAAATCTTTTAATTAACACTTGACCACCACAATGGTTCCTTCCTGGTGTTTTGCATACATAAAACAGGGTTTGTATTTTAACCTGAACTCTTTGTAATCTAAGAATATTCTCCAAGATGATATGGGATATTTTATGTTGAATTAGTTCAGTCAAGAAATGGAGGCCATGTTAACCTTGTTTAAGGTATACACAACTTGCTTTTCCTTTCTTTCTCTTGAAAATACAGACAAGATATTGATGTGATCTTACATTCAAACAATTAGAAAATGGGTCTTATACCATAGAGTAAATACTTGCACCTAAAACATCTCCAACATCTCTAACATCCAGGACATGATTAAATGAGCAATATAAGTATTTTGTGACCCAAGCAGGGCATTCATAATTGGAAGTGGGCACTTTCTATGAGAGAGTTATTAATTCTGCTTACAACAAAGGGAAATGGAGAACTTTCAAAATGTATAATTAAAATAGGCAAAAGTGAAGCATGAAAACCAAAGTCCTTGATATCTATAATCTTGTTTTCACCAAATAGTGTTGGAACTGTCTCTGAAATTTCTATTTGAATCCATCAACCACATAAGAGAGTATCTGCATTCTGTATTGGTTTTTTAAATCTAAAATCAGATAACAAATAGTCTTGATTTTAAACAAGATGTGAAAACATTCTATCATATATTGGTAGAATAGAGAGGAGATTCAAAGGGATAGAAATCAGTATTACCAGAATAAGTTATTTGGCTCAGTTTTTTTCAGTAAGGAAAAAAAATGACACCCTTCTAACACTCACCTAGCTCTGATAACTTACAATAAAACCAAGTTGAAGGAGTTGTCGAACTTGTCATAAAATAATTTAAATTAAAAAAAAATCATGTTCAAGTCTTCCTAAAGTTAAGGTTATAGGTTTTGTTTAACAATAAATTATGTTTTTGAAGTGAATAAATAAATGTAGTTTATTTTAAAGGCTTCTATATTCTAACACATTATCTAAAGTAAAATTTCCTTCCAAAAGGTATGTTTTAGTTAAATTCTAGTCCACTCTTGATATTATGTGTCTGAAATAGGTAATGAATTTAAAAATTCTAGGATTGGAGTACAATTATGCTTACAACAGTTACAGTTTATGCAACAACAATAATGTTACCATTGCATAACATTCACTTCATCCTATGCAGAATGCCACTAATTGTTTTTGCTACTTTTCTGAAAAATATCATGCATATATCAGTAAACAAAATTGTATAATGAAAACCCATGTCCCCATCATGTGGGTTCAATAATTACAAACTCATTGCTAATTTTGGTTTATCTCTACCTCCAGAGACTTTGCCTCTTATAATATCTGAAGTAAGCCACAGATGTCATTTCTTCTACAAATATATTAGTTCACATCACTAAAAGGTAAAGATTATTTTTTCATATGCTCAAAATTTCACTCTCACACATGGAAAGCTACCAATTGTCTGACCTCTCTGTTTCCTGTAAATTGTACTTGTGCTTGTATCTCACCTAGAAGCTTGATCACATTTTTCCATTTTTTATTTTTCTGGCAAGTCTCCTTCAGTAGACAGTCTTTTGTTTCCAATAAGAGTGACATGACTCCTGATCATCTTTCTTTTTGTTAAGTTAGCTGCTGTTGATGACTAATGATAGATCAATTCATTAAAGTTTGTGTAATGCTGACATTACTACTATAATATTCCTTCCTCCTTTATAGGCTGAAATATGCTGTAAGAAGAATTTTCCCATCTGCTATTTGGTTACTATTGCAATATTGTCTTTTCAAATTGGCTGTCAAGCCCGTTTTATACCTGGCTAGTAGTTTTTGGCAACTTCCTTGTGGTCTTATACATTTCCAGGGAGCCCCTTTTTCATTTGGTGAAAATCCTTATCTAAAGGCCGTAATCTGAATGTTTGGTGTTCTGTTTGCTATTTGGTTGATCACTTATTTTATCCTTTATCCATAAATGAACTATTATTTTATTTAAAGATAAAATACATGAGCATACACTGATAATTCCAATTTATTACTAATTTTATTACTAAATAGTATGTCGACTTCTTTGATCTTAACATATATTTTCCTCCATGTTTAAAAATTATGCTCTCAACAGCATCAAAAATTATAGATTTACTATTTCACGTAACTGTTCATTTTTGTTATATCTCAATATAGCTGAGTTTTATTTTCTAATTTTAAAATATTGATGCTAATTTTTGTTTTTTCAGGTTTTTTCCATCATTTTTGGAATCCCTCGATGGGTATACATTCAAATTACTATTTTAAAAATTACTTAAAGCACTCCTACTTTGTACAAATATACTGCCAACTAGATCCATATTTAGTTTTGTTGTTTCCTTTCATTTTTTAAGTCTTTGGATAGTTTAAATTCAATAATTGTAAATATATAAAATATTTAACAGACTTAAAAGCAAAACTTATAAAAATAAATATTCAAGAAGTCACTTCTTATCCCTTCTTTCCCTTTATATACAGTTATTTTCTTTTTTATATTTATGGTTATTATTTGCATTTTTATATAAACACATATGAACACACTTTTTTTTGTATTTTAACTATCTGCTTATGTACCCCTACTTTTTTAGGTGATGTGTGTTTGAAGGAATAGGCTGTTAATTATCTCAACATCAAGGTCATTGCAAATTATCTTGCTATCGACACCATTTAAAAGAGTGTCCCTCACTTAAAAGGTGCTTAATACATGTTTCTTTTCTTCAAATGACTGAATTGCTAGACAACTTATGTAAAATACATTATATTGCAAGAGGCTTTATTAAGAATTTTCAGAGGATGTAAAAACCCTTCCTCACCCTCTTTTTACGACCAGGATAAATTCAGCCAATTTGGTGGCCAAAGTGAATGACTCTCCTCACTGGGCTTGGCAGCATTCCTGTATGTAGGAATGAAAACATCTTCTGGGGCTGGAAAAAGTAGTAGTTTGACCTAGAGTAGGAGAGTAACTTTATTCTCTTCTAGGACATAGTTGAAAATATAAACATAAAGTAAGAGATGCCAGAAGAGAGGATTCACCTTTATGAAACAACTTGGGAAAATTATGCTTGGAACCACACTGTAACTTTTTAAAAATAAAAATTTTATCTGAAATAAGTTTAGATGTAATAAAAGTTAAAAAAACTACTGCAGATAATTTCTGTATACTTTTCACACATTTTCCATTAATGTTAACTACAACTTAATTTCAGACTTTGATTTTGAAACATTATTATGTTTTAAAATCTTTTTCTACAATAAAATGTGTTTGTTTGGCGGGGCACAGTGGCTCATGCCTGTAATCCCAACACTTTGGGAGGCAGAAGAGGGCGGATCATGAGGTCAGGAGATCGAGACCATCCTGGTTAACACGGTGAAGCCCCGTCTCTACTAAAAATACAAAAAAAATTAGCCGGGCGTGGTGGCGGGCACCTGTAGTCCCAGCTACTCCGGAGGCTGTGGCAGGAGAATGGCGTGAACCCAGGAGGCGGAGCTTGCAGTGAGCCGAGCCGAAATCGCGCCACTGCATTACAGCCTGGGCGACAGAGCGAGACTCCATCTCAAAAAAAAAAAAAAAAAAAAAACCATTTAAATAATCAGTGTATATAACGATCATACCATATATAACAAGCAGTGAAAATTTCTTTTAAAATATCAAAAATAAAACTAATTTATAATAAAATCTTACTTTTCCATTTAATAATGATATAATGATCATCCTATTTATTTATCTCATAGATTCCAGGCTATCTACACTGCCTCCTTTGTCTATGAGCCAAGACACTTAATGTGAGCAGAAGTTATATATTGGGAACATCTCACGCTCTATCATTTATGATTTTTTAAAATCCACTCTCTTCCAATAATACCTGGAAAAATATATCTTTATTTTCAAACGCTGTTTGTATATAAGGTGCTGTGGCATTTTTTTTAGACGTAGTCTCACTCTGTCGTTGAGGCTGGAGTGCAGTGGCGCGATCTCGGCTCACCGCATCCTCTGCCTCCCGGGTTCAAGTGATTCTCCTGCCTCAGCCTCCCGAGCAGCTGGGACTACAGGAGCCCACCACCAAGCCCAGCTAATTTTTGAATTTTTAGTAGAGACAGGGTTTCACCATGTTGGTTAGGCTAGTCTCAAACTCCTGACCTCATGATCTGCCCTCCTTGACCTCCCAAAGTGCTGGGATTACAGGCATGAGCCACCACGCCTGGCCTGATATTATGTTTTTATATAGGCACAGCTGCTATATCTACCACTCATCAAATCTCTACTCCCCTTATAATAGCAATAGTCTCTGGCTGGGGATAAAGTAGCAGTTGAAAAAGCACTCAAATAATTTTGATTGAAAGACCCATGACATAATTCGAACAAAAAACAATGGACAAAAGTGCTCAAATTAGAAGTGGAAAAAGAAAATCCTGACATCAACTCATAAGCATGTTATGTTTTGTTTTTATAGCTTCAAAGGGTACGAGCATAGATTGCTACATGGATATATTACACAGTGGTGGAGTCTGAGATGTCTTCTCAAGAAAAGCAAAAAAATATATAAAGGATACTCTTCATCAGAACAATTCTTTTTATGAATAATTTCATTTACTTGCAATAACCAATTATTAGGAAATCCCTTTCCAGTGAGTAAACTCTGTCTAGAAATAATCTAAGATTAATTCATAAATGCTTTGATTGTTTTTCTTCCCTAATGGCGTGATACCATGACATACATAAACCTATGACTATATATATAATATATTGACTATATATATACATATATATAGACATTGCACTGCACAAATGGCAATAAGAAGCTAATCGCTTTTGTCTTTTTTAAATTATAAATATTGAAAAATCATAAAGTTATGGCAAACTATGTATAAGGCAATGCAAAAGTAATTTCAGTTTTTGCCATTGCTTTTGCACCACCTAATTATTTTTGCACCACCTAATATATAGTCTTCATATAGTCTCTTTTTATATATAGTCATAGCTTCATGCATGTCTATATGTATATAAAGTGTGCACACACACATGCACGTGTGGTTTGTATTTGTACATACTAATCTGAATTTTAAAAGTTACACTTAACTTATAATCATAACTACATATTGTTACCTTCAAAAAGAAAATGTCATCATAGTGATGACTAGTAATTGTGTATGAGAGAATTAAGTGTAATTGCTTCCAAACTGCATATTACAAAGACATTTTGAGGTCTCATTTACACTTGATTGTTAGGATAGTGTTAAATTTTTAGAATTTATTTTTCTTCTGCTGGACCCTGTTTGATAATGATGGTACATTATATTTAACTGCCTTTCTGAAAACACCAAGTAATAGGCAAGTATATATATATATATATATATATATATATATATATATATACACACACACACACACACACACACACACATACACATATATACATATTACACATATATACACATATATACGTATATACGTATGCATATGTATGTGTATATATGCATACTTATATGTGTATATATGCACATATACGTATATATACACATATATACATATATATGTTTACGTATATATGTATATATGCATATGTATATATGTATACGTAAAGCTTATAGTTAAATTCAATGATAAAGGAATATTCAAGTTATCCATCTTCTAAAGGCAGGATGCTAATAATTAATGTGTTTGGTAGTTTCCACTAGGAGGTCTGTCACAGAAATTGAAAAGTTTATCGTTACAAAACATAATTACCTGTATTTTTAAAGTGCTACATTCTGTGAATAATTTCTGTCAAATAACAGTACAATGTAAAAATTATATAATGAAATATGTATTTCTATTCCATGATATATTGACTAGTCTACGATATATTGGCACAGATAATTCAAACTAATGTTGATAGAGGTAGTCTTCAGTAGGTCACTGTTTTGTAATTTAATGTGATCCTCAGCCACCCTCCCCATCCCAAAATCCCTAGAAAATGAAAACACTCATAAGACATTTATACTGTCTTCTTTGAAAAAAAGATTGCCTGGATTAAGAGTTTTGAACTAACTTATAGCTTATATTTTGATTTCAAGTGAGTAAACATCAATTATTTTGCTAAGAGAAATGCTGAGCACATGTAGTTATATGCTTCCATGAATTCAGAAATCCATGTTTTGAACTAAATTCTGCCAACAAAAAGCTGTGAGACCTTGGGCAGTTATTTTACCTCTCAAAATCCCTATGGAAAACATTGATTCTTAACTTCTAAAGTCATTATGAAGTTTAAATGAAATAGTAGTTCAACAATCCCTGGTGCTTATTTGGTTTTCCTGATTGTAGACTAGTTCATATGTCTGTTCTAACTCAAACCATAAGCAACTAAGTAATGAAGCTAAAGATGGGTATCTATCGTGTTTAGTACGTGCATTTACCCTATTTAAAATCTTCAAGGAATGTAGCTCTCTTAGGACATAGATAGCCATTGCTGACCTTGCCATGTCTGAGAAGAACTAAGATCAAGGGTTTTTAGTGGCTACATTCTTAGCATTGCAAGTGTTAGCAAGATTAAGAGATATTAAGTTAATCAGGTGACAGAATAAATAAAATTAATGTTAAGATATCAAAGATATAAAACATACTATGTTTTAGGTATAAGACTTATAAACTTACTTTTTCAAATATATTAGTGTTGTCCACCTGGAAATAAAGCTATAATATCTAAGACAGTCTTGGAGTTATTAAATTTTTCCTGGACTGAGACTTAAATTCAGTTGTGAGTCCTGTGTGTGAATGAATAGCATGCAATAATTGACTCAAGAGCAGACCAACACCTACCTGAATGCCCTACAAATTTGGTATTTGAGTGGAAAACTAGGGTTTGCTTTCCATGGAAAAAAACCTCATGGCAGCAACAAATCCCAAACTGAGAAACAGTAAGTGCTTCTTTAATGCAATGATGGCAAAGGAGTTAATATTGTGGTTCGGTTTCCTTTGCTTCTTCTTTTCTAAAATATGCGTGTTGCTTTTTCATATCTTTTGTTTGATGTTATCATAGAAGAATTTGTCAAAATTGTTAACTTTCTTTATGTTTGGTCATACTCTCCTTCTTTCTGTACTTTTCATTTTTCTAATGTGGTTATATGACTATATTATGCAAAGGGTTTGAAAGACTCTGGAATTATGGAGTTCTAAGAAAACTTGTATATTATTCTCTCACTAGCACATATGATTTTATTTCTTAATGTTCTTGTAATCCATTAAAGATGTCAAATTTGAAATATGAACTCTCACTTATTACTTTTAAAAATTCAAGTTTTCAAACTTATTCTTGATATTCTACTGCACAAAAGGTAATAATAAACTAATCATTTTGTCTTCATGTAAAAAATCATAAATATTGAAGAATCATAAAGTTATGGCAAAATGTAGTCAAAGTTTCAGAAGAAACTCACTGAGTTTAGCATGTATGACTCACGTGTAAAATACCTGCCTCTGACTACCGATTGCAAAGACTGAATTTTCAAGACTCTTATTAGGTAAATTTAAAACAAGGAAATCTGAAAATGAGCATATTAATGAAAGAACTACAGCTTCTAGATATGCATTCTTAGGAATATCTATTCTCTTTGATACAGATCATTAAATGTTAAAATAAAAATAGCTTAAATTGAGTGAAGTCAGAGTAGGGAATGGAAAAAAAATAACTGTGAAATTGTTAAGGTGTGTAGTAAGTTAGGGGCCATGTGCATTAATCAATCTTTTTTGTTATAGCATGCAGCTTGTCTTCAGGCAAGTTACTTATTCTGTTGTTATTAAGTTCCTTGAATTCTATTCTCCAAAACCTTATGTAATGAAAGCTAACCATGAAAGGGAGGGAATATACCTAGACAGTCTTGTTTCCTGGTTTCAGTTTGATACACTTTTCACTATATCATGCTGCTAGTTATCATTGTTTGATCACTTGGCAAGATAGCGTCCATCATTGGGCATTTGGTCATATATATCATATGGCTTCTATTTGTATTTGGAGGCTAAGTTAAATTTAAATTGAAGTTAGTGATGCAGAGCACATAGTCCATGATAGAAGAATGAAAGTGTTTTTCTCTAGCTGAAGCATCATTAAAAAGCATGCATTTGCTTCACTATTGACTTTCAGTTTCCTCTTGCAAAATTAAAAACAAACAAGCACAATTTTTTGCCTACCTCAATAGCTGTTCATCAAAAATAATTTGGGAAGTTGTAAGGAGCTAGAAAAATGTTATGATTTTTGCTATAATGATTATATGACATTTTATATAACTTGTTATAACCTAATGTATTGTAAAATAAGGGATAGAAGTAACTGGGGTCCTGAAAAGACATAAAATACAGAATCATTAGAGCAATCTCTAATATACATGTATATATTAGAGACTTTAAATATACACACAAAATGTTATATACATACATTTATTCAATAAAATTTTTAATGAATAGAATTATATGTGATTCTACACAGAAGTCTATAGAATAATATTTCTCATTGCGTACTTCCACTCTTATGGTATCCCATTTTCCTTCAGAATGAGTACCTTCCAAGCACTTGTGGATTAATATTGTCAATCCTTGAAATCACATAAAATGACATCTCATATAAGTTTGACTTATTTTGCCAGGGAGCCAAGTTTCTTACCTGTCATGATTTAAGTGCCTTGAATTCTATTCTCCAAATGCTCATGTAGCCTAAGCTCACTATGAAGAGGAGGGATGATATCTAAATGAAATTAGCTTTGGTTGACAGCGCATTACTTTCTAACTCTTCCATATACTGTAGTGATTCTGTAACTATTCCAAGCCTTGGATTTTAAATATAACTGTGGATATATTATTTACTTGCATTATTTTATGTCAGTAGCGAAGATATTCAGTACTTTATACTGACAGAATTGTAAAAATGTAAAATTGTAAAATATCTGACTTCCTACTTCAGTTCATTTTCTGCCAAAGTTACAGCTAAACTCTAGTAAAAAAAAATTGACATTTTCATTGCAGTAATAGAATACATGCATACATCAAAACTTATAAAAATTAACATTTTAAAAATGTGAACCTTATTTTGTGTCGGTTATGTCTCAGTAAATTTGTAAACTTAAAAAAAATCTGTAGCCACTTGGAACCAAGTGATGTTGAAGTTCCCATGGCAGTGATTGTTGGAGAAAACGAACAAACACGAAACAGAACATAACTACATTTATTTTGTTTCGAACTAAATTATTTCTTTCAGTTCATAATCTGTATATTCTCTAAATGAGGACACATTGTTTCTGCTCTCCCAATAAACAAAATTATTATTGTTTGCCCTTAAGGAGTTAATTGGCTCATTTATTTAGTGAGCCTCTGTAAGAGTACTTGGAGAATACAATAGTCAAGCTCAATCTATTTTAGGTTGGAAAGAAAAAACTTTTTCCTTTTGATCTATGAATAATAGAATTATTTCCTAAAAGCTGACCAGAGGACACATTTTTAGAGTATATTAATGTCTAAATACACAATACAATAAAAGACACATTTTAATAGCTATGCTGAGCTACAACTATTCTATTTAAGAGGATAGCCACTAGCCACAAACATGACTATGTAAATTTATATCAGTTAAAATTAAATATAGTGAAAATTCAGTTTATGGTTTGTACAGTAGTTCCATGTGGCTCATGGCTGCTATATTGGGAAGCATGGATTATAGAAATTTCAATTCTTGGTGAATATTTTATTGAACAATACTATGATACAGTATACATTATAAATTATCAGATAAATTATTGCATCTTTTTATTTTTTGCTATGTTACGATGTCAAGAAAATGTTTGAAGCTGTGGATTCAAAGAAGAAAATATTAATTTATCCATCAATTAAGAAGAGAAAGGAATAGAGCTTGTCTTTCCATCAAAGCAGTGTTAAAAATTAATCGTAAAAGCCCAGTGGGATAAAAATATTGCTAAGGGGTTAACCACATTTTGTAAAAAAAAAAAAACTGCTTAGAAAACAAACCAAAAATGTGACAGTTGATTATATGCTTCCTTCATGCATACAATGCCCAAAAGTTATCTTTCTATGCATTATGATATAGAATTATCTGCCCATTAATTTTGATTGCTATAATTAGTTGATGAAGGTCACACGTATGTAGAATTCAAACATCAATTGCAAAATGACTAATCCATATTCCAGGTAATATAGACAGAAAGGTCTGAGAATTATGGTTTTTATTCAGAACAATACCTTCTTTTAGTAGTACTACACTCAAAACTGTTGTTTTCATAAAAGAAAAGAAGAAATGTACTCATTTATCCCCAGTAAACTTCAGTCTAGCAATACGATTAATCTCTTTTTTCCATTAATAAGTTGTTTCCAGATTTGCTCAGATGTTCTACCTGGAAAATCAAATTATCTCAAACAAAGGCAGTTTTTTTCCTTCAATTCTTACTATTTTTTCTTTTCTTTTTTTATCTGATCATACTTTCTCTATATTAAATAGCAGACTCAACAACGAGTGTTCCACTCATTTTCCTAACAGAGTTCAAGACTAAAATGAGAGTTCTTACCTTTATTTGTAGTGGAGAGGTTTTATTAAGTTATATATTTTCTGTTATTGGTTTCCTGAAAGTTTTTATTATGGAAGACTGCTGAAGTTCATAAAAATTCCCATTTATCTTTTTTGAGATCATCATGCTTGTGTGTGTATATGTATCTTTTCATAGCTTGGCCCTAAGAGAGCCAATATATTGGTTTCCTGTCATAATCTCTGTTATCTCTGGCACCAAGTAAGCCAAAGAGAAAGAAACTAAATGGATCAGCTGAGGTCTCCCTTATTGTAACATTGGTAGAAGGCAAGGAAAATTTTTGCACTTTATCCTTTGTGTTTCTTAAGAACCAGGACTAAACACAAAGAAAATTGTGAAATATCATATTAAGCCACCCAAATGTCTTTACATTATAACTGATAAATATTTGATAACGAAAGACTGAGGAAAATTTGGTAACAAAAGTGAGATATTCTTTAAGTGTAAAACATACAGCAAGTTTTAAAACTACAACAAAAATAAAATTGATATCCTATGAATTTTTATATTGATTGCATATTGAAGTAATACTATGTAGATATATTGCACTAAATAAAATATATTATCAAATTACTTTTATCTGTTTCTCTTTACTGATTTTTGATGTGGAAACTAAAAAAAATTACTTGTCTTCCCATAAATGTATATGCTCACATTTGTAAAACTATCTAACATCTTATTTCATACTGTATTTGTATTAGATAGCACTACCATAAAGAAAGAGCTAAATACGATGCCTGAACCAAGAAATGTATTTTGAAGAGCCTATATTTGCATGTAAATGATTTTGATAATATAAGGAAATGTAAACAGAATCACATACTTTCTAGAGCTACATATTAATAACCAAAACCACAGCACAAGTAGATAAATTTAAAGGCAGATCATTACTATTAGTATCTCCAAATTAGTGACCTATGATACGAAACAGCAGTATCTACCACCTCAAAGAAAAATTCGAAGAAACAGGATCCATCAATGAATAAGAGTTCCAGCAACTCTTAAATGCTAGTCAAAATATTGTCGTGATAAGAAAGAACAGATGGAAGAGAGAAACAGTTAAACAAATAGTAGAAGACAATACCCACAAAATCAGAAAAAGCCCTTTAATTTGAGAAAGTGAAATTGTGAAAAGCCATGCAACTTTAGACATTTTTAATAAGCACCCTGAATTCAAGAAAAGTGGACAAGCTGCCAGAAATAATAATTACTTAATGAAAACATAAAAAAGAAAATATTTAGTTTCACCATTCTCACCTAAAATATTAGAAACCGGAATTGAACAGACCACCCTTTAATGTCATTAATGAGAAGAAAAAAAGTACTTTTTATATTATACAACCAGCCACTTTAGATATATAAGACACCGCATTTCTTGGACACATAATACATTTTCTTGCATATCCATAGACTATTTAAAAGAATGTTGATTGTGCCACTTGTATACAGTTTTTTGATATCAAAAATTAAAAATATTTACAGTTTAATATACCCCTAGATCATAGGATAATAAGTGTAAAACTATAATAATAAAAATATGGCAATGAAAATATATCTCTTACAGTTCTGAAGGCTGGAAGCCCAAGATCAAAGCAGCAGCGGACTCAGGACTCAGTTTCCAACGAGAGACAGGTTTATGGTCCATAGATAATGCCTGTTCATTGGGTACCAACATGGTGGAAGTGGCAAGGCAGCTCTCCAGGGCTTCTTTTATAAGGGGGTTAATCCCATTTCTGATAACTCTGCCCTCATGTCCTAATTAATTCCCATCTAATAATACCGTCACATTGGTGATTAGGTTTCAACATGTTAATTTTGGATAACATAAGCATTCAGACCATAACTGGTTCCATAGCAAATATGAATAATACAAAACACTGATGAATGAAATCAAAGGTCTCAATAAATGGAGAGAGATTCTGTGTTTATGACTTGGGAAAATCAATCTTTTTTAAAAGTTTTAATTCTTGCCAAATTGATCTAGAAATTCAGCATAACCTGCTCCCAATCCTAGTAAACCATTTTGTAGATAAGTACAGACTGAGTCTAAACTTTATATTAAAAACCAAAAAGAAGATGAATCTTGACACAGATTTATACCCATTACTAAATTAACTCAAAATAAATCATAGGCCTAGTGGTAAAATGAAAAACTATAAAACATTTAGAATATAATAGGAGAAAATATAGGTTACCATGAATTTGGCAATGTATTTTTATATAAAAAACCAAAAGCACAGTCCGTGAAAGAAAATATTAATAATCTGGACTTAGTTTTAGTTAAAAACTTCTGCTCTGTGGACAGCATTGTGAACAAAATAAAAGACACAGATAGGGTAAAATATTTGCAAAATATATACCTGATAAAGATTTGTATTTGAAACATTGAAAAGATCTTTTAAAACTCAACAACAAGAAAACAACATCCCAATTGTAAAAATGGGCAGAAAATTTGGACAGATATTTTACTAATGAATATATAAGATGAAAATGAAAGGACATGCAGAAAGTATATGAAAAGATACTCAATGTCATTGTCATTAGGGAAATATACATTGAAACAACAAGAGACCATTAGATACCTATAAGGACAGCCAAAAATCAATCAGTAAATAAAATACACAATTCTGTCCAGGATCAGGAGTCAGGGACCTCTCATTTATTGCTGGTCAGAATGCAAATTGACGCAGCCACTTTAGAAGATAATGACAGTTTGACAGCTAAACATAATTTTCCAATGCAATCCAGCAATCATGTTCCTAGATATTTGCCCAGCTGATTTGAAAACCTATGTCCACACAAAAACCTTAATGCAAATGTTTATGGCAGCTTTTATTCATAGTGTTCAAATACTGGAATCCAGCAAAATATTCTACAATACGTGAACAAACTGTGTTATACCCATACAGTGAAATATTTGATTGTAGAAATAAATTTGTTATCAAACCATGAAAAAATTCATGGAAAATATGTTACTAGATAAAAGAAGCCAGTCTGAAAAGCCTCAATATTTTATTATTCCAATTATATGACATTCTGGAAAAGGCAAAACCACAGAGACAGGGAAAAAAGATCACTGGTTACCAGGGTTCCAGGGAGGGGTGTTTACTAGGGGAAACATTGTATTTTCAGCACAGTGAAACTATAATGTGTAATACTCTAATGGTAGGTATATGATACTATATATTTGTCAAAACCTATAGAATTTTACAGCACAAAGTGTGAATCTTAATAAGATGCTAATTACAAAAACCATTTAGGAAGGTCAAGGAATCCATGGATAGAATGTTGAATAGATAAAATAAACTAACATTACTATAAATCTATGAAGCAATCTCACTGAGGCTCAAGGGGATAAAATTTGCTGACTGACCTAAGTGGCTTGGGAAAGGTTTAAGTTTTGTAAGACACAAGGCAAAAGATACTACTAAGCCTTGTACTCTGGATAATAACGTTGTTTCCTACAGGTACAGGTGTTAACAATCGTGATATTGCAATTCATGTATACTGGAATTAATCAATTAAGTAAATGAATGGCAATAATGGAAGTCAGATTTCTCATTGTCAGAAGGGGAGTTTATAGCTAAGTAAGCTAGGAGAATAGACTGATCCATGTGGTCATGGATTAGACTTGAGACAACAATGTTAACTTATTCCCTTAACTTATGTTAACTTATTTTGCCTTGATAGAAATGGTTACATATATGTATATTTATGTATATGTATATATAAGTACATTATTATTTGAATGTACTTTTTTTTTACTCTGACACCTGAAGGCTGTGCAGCAATAACATTACAGTAGGAAAGAGAATACTTTGAGGCCTGGCGCGGTGTCTCATGCCTGTAATCCCAGCACTTTGAGGGCTGAGGCGAGCAGATCACTTGAGGTCGGGAGTTCGAGACCAGCCTGGCCATCATGGGGAAACTCTTTCTCTACTAAAAATACAAAAATTAGCCATGTGTGGCCATGTGCATCTGTAGTCCCAGCTACTCAGAAGGCTAAGGCATGAGAATTGCTTGAACAGGGAAGAGGAGGTTGCAGTGAGTGGATTTTGCACCTGGGTGAAAGAATGAGACTCTATCTCAAAAAAAAAAAAAAAAAAAAAAAAAAAAAAAACCTATCACCCAAATCTTGGTTTCTGATACTATTTTACAATAAAAGAGTCCTTGAAGAAAGTGCTAATGCTACTACAGATATAGGATATATACAAGATGGGTCTGGAGCATTGTGTAGAACCACAAATAATTTTTTTTACTAAAAATTCTCCACAACAAAAACAAACACACATCAATGGTGGAAGGCCGAAAGCACACAGAAGCCTATTGAGAGAGAACTGATGATCGAAGGTGGAACAATTTGAGGAACAAAATAAAAAGTGTTAGATTATAATACAAATTATAAAGTAAATATCATAAAATGTGCTGATATAAATAAATGATTGAATATATAAATACATGGGAGAGAAAAGACAAATTCTCATAAAGAAGGATTCCAAATAATTTATGTATCTCCTTTAGCTTCAAGAATGTAGAGTATGACTCCCTGCTTCTTCAATATGGGCTTCCTTCCTAACAGTATAGTACAGAAAGACATAAAAGAGAGTAAACTTGCAGCAGAAAAACCTATTAAGTGCTACCTCAGCCAAGCACTCAAGGTCAGTATCAACCGTGGTTAAGTCATGTATGTCCATGTAATATGGTTACATGGGTAACAGTGATATGGGTAGCGGTCACAACAAAAAGAGTCAGCATTTATGTTTACAGCACAGAAAATCAAGCTGTTGGAGAAACGGGAAAATGGTGGCCATGTGAAACATCTTCCAGGAGAGTTTCACATTGAAATGACCACCATGTATGACCTTAGGAAACAGAAAGATAAACTACTGTCCACACGAGTGACTGAGAGAGTTACACCTTTGCTTTCTGATGGTCCAATGTATACACACTTTGTGTCACGAACAAAATTATTTAAAATATTGTATAAAATACTTTCAGGCTATGTGTATAAGGTATATCTGAAGCATAAATGTATTTCATGTTAGATTTGAGTCCCCTCCCCAAGATATCTTATCCTGCATATGAAATATTCCAAAATAAGAAAAAAATTCTGGTATCCAAAAATCTCTGGTCCTAGGTGTTTCAGATAAGGAATTCTCAATCTATAGGTATATACCCAAAGGATTATAAATCATGCTGCTATAAAGACACATGCACATGTATGTTTATTGCGGCACGATTCACAATAGCAAAGACTTGGAACCAACCCAAATGTCCAACAATGATAGACTGGATTAAGAAAATGTGGCACATATACACCATGGAATACTATGCAGCCATAAAAAATGATGAGTTCATGTCCTTTGTAGGGACATGGATGAAGCTGGAAACCATCATTCTCAGCAAACTATCCCAAGGACAAAAAACCAGACACTGCATGTTCTCACTCATAGGTGGGAATTGAACAATGAGAACACAAGGACACAGGAAGGGGAACATCACACACCGGGGCCTGTTGTGGGGTTGGGGGAGGGGGGAGGGATAGCATTAGGAGATACACCTAATGTTAAATGACGAGTCAATGGGTGCAGCACACCAACATGGCACATGTATACATATGTAACAAACCTGCACATTGTGCACATGTACCCTAAAACTTAAAGTATAAATAAATAAATAAATAAATAAATAAATAAATAAATAAAATAGATGTATTAGTCTGTTTGGGTTGTCATAACAGTATACTATAGACTAGGTGGCTTAAACAATATAAATTTATTTTCTTCCATGTTTAGAGCCTGGAAGCCTAAGTTTAAGATGCCAAAATCTAGTCCTTGGCAAGGGCCTTCTTTCTGGCTTGGAAATGGCTGACTTCTCATTAATGTATCCTTACATGGTGGAGAAAGAGTAAGGGAGAGAGGGAGTAGAGAGGGAGAGAGGGAAAGATGGTAGATGGTCTCTCTCCTCTTTTATAATGACACTAGTCTCATCCTGGGGGATCTACCTGCATTAACTCCCAAATGCGTCATCTCCAGATACATCACACTGGGGCTTAGGGCTTCAGCATATAAATTTGTGGAGGATACAACATTCCGTTTATAGCAACAGGAGAACCAGAATGTGAGATATATGAGAACCCTCCATAATATTTCCACAATTTTCCTATAAATCTAAAAAGTGTTCTAAAAATAGTTTATTTAAATAAGAATGATAAATCAACTGTGAGAATATTGTAAAATAATTTTTGAAATAAACAATATAGTAATACAAATGAGAACTCAAAGGATGGCTTTCAGAGAGGGTAAACAAAAGTGGTTACCCTCACACATAGGTTGACATTAATGAACTAAGGGATAAATTGGAAAACGTTATCCAGAATGCAGAACAGATAGATAAAATATAAAAACAATATTAAAGAGTAGTTAAGACACTGGGAAGTGAAAGTGAAATCTAAAATACAAGAGCGTAAGGTAGAAGAAATACAAATAAGCCAATATTTGAAAAGATAATTAATGGTGAATACATTTATATAAATGAAAGAATAAATTATCATATTCAAGAAGCATGGCAGGTCCCCAAAGTTATAAATACAAACATGTTTACAGGTAAATACATAATATGCAAAATTCAAAATTTATAATTCAGGAACACCAAAAACAAAAATAAAGAAGTTTAAAACAGTCAGAGAAGAGCAAGTTACTACAAAAAACAAACAAACAAAAAAGCCAAGCTGGGTATGAACTCACTTCTAGTCAGAAGCAATAGAAGCGAAAACACAGAGAAATATTACATAAACAATTTCAGGGCAGTACATTGCCCTAGCTAGAAAAAAAAAAAGGTAAAACTTTGCTTCTAAAATCACAGCAAAATCAAGACATACTGAACACAAGTCAAAGATAACTTATAAAAAATAAAATTATTTAGAAAATTGATCCCAGGAATATATTTAAGATTCAGTGAATTTTTTGTAAGGAAAATGGCCAACATGGTGTTAAATATAAGGTAAGTATTGTGAAAACTTAGACAAAGATTAAATATGACCAACAGAACAAATTAGAAGTAAATATTGGGTACAGGACAGTATAAGTTGTTAGGATAGTAATTTTCATAAAATGTTCTGAAATTCATGCCAACAAATAATAATTTTTATTCATTTTTCAACTTCGTTGAGCAAAGCATACATGTTACAGGTCAAGAATGTCATTATATATTTTTTAAAAAGTTAAAGCTATGATTTCTAAATATGTCATATAAAATATTATAGCAAGAAATATTCAAAACAAAATGGAATTAAAAAGATATTACTATCATTAACAATAATTTAAAAATTAACATTGTAAAACTAAAACCAAATATGACAAAAATCACGATATGCTGTTGATCAATGTTGCTTGTTCTCTTTTTTTCGCAGATGAATGAACTTAGTAATTAGCTTCAGGTTGGTATAGGTTTGTGACATTTTGTTTGATAAAATATGAAAGGAAGTGAAGTGGTATATTTGTGTGCATGGAAGTAAATGTGTAATTATAAGTATATATAATTTACAAGATCTACTCGTAGCATATAAGGGCAAAAAAGTGAACACAGAAGAGCATAAAATATATCACTTAAATGGAGAGTAGAAAAGCTATGTAATATGAAACAAATTATACTTTAAAATAAAAACCACTACTAGAAACAGAAAATGTTACTATACGCAAATATCCAAATTGAAGCTATGGTTCTAAAACTGTGTGTAAAAATGTAGTACAACATTAAAATGTATGTGGCAAAATGAACAATATTACAAAGAAATTAAAAAATACATAATCGGAATGAGAATATGTCCACTTGTGTCACTACTTGATTTTTTTAAGCAAAAATGTGATTAATAATTGAAATTTTTGGAAACATTTACTCATGAGATGAAGAATGCACAATGTTTTTAAGATAATTCAGTGTCTTTTTAAAACAGAGCCCATACTTTGCACAGAATGAATTTCAAAAAAAGTTTAAAAATGGTATAATTCAGACAAAATTATTTGCCCACAATGCAAGAAAATTAAAAACACATGGCAAATACAATTAACAAATGAAGAAAATTTAGCAATTTTTTTAAAAGTTTTCATTATCTCTTTGTTCAAGAGAAAAGCCTAATGGCAAATGAAGTTGTTTAAAAGTGAATCACGATGATTACCGTACATACAGTTTTGGTTCATATTGTGGCAAAGATTAAGCGCTGTCTGCCGAATATTCCTGCTCTCTTTTCCAGAAGGTTTATTTTTGGTAAATGGCTACATAATCAGTGACATTTTACACTCTTTCTTGCCTCTAGGTGAGCCTGATCTCACCAAAATACCAAGATCTCACCAAATGGAATATGAGCGGAAGTGATGAAGCAGTGGGCCACATTTTCTCCATGGATGCAAAGGATCCTTGGTGATATCAGAGATATGAAATGGAAGGTAGCTGGATTTATGGACCACTGCTTGGGGGAGATCCAACTACAATCAGGAAGACTTATTTAGACCAAACCCAAGCAAGAAATAAACTTCTATTCTGATGAACACTGAGACGTAGGCTCCTGTGTGTTATAGGAGATACTAACGACTTAATGAATATAAATAAAACAGTTACAAAGAGGTGGGGGAAATTAGTATCCTGGTTAGTATTAGAAACTAAGAAAATCTGAACATATTAGTTGTTTCAAACAAAGTATTTAATAAAAGTCAATTAAAGAATCAAAATAAAGCAGTAAGAAGTTGAAAGTATGTGAAGCTGAGAATAGAAATCAGAAAAAATTTTTTAAAGATGTTATATCAAAATTGATTGACATGTATTGTAATGTATTGATTGAAAAGTGATAAAATTGACAAATTTCTTGCATGTGTGAGAAAAAGAAAACAGAAGAGGCTTAAAACATTTTAGGATAAAAAGGGAGAGCTAAATGCAGAGGTAGTAGATATTGAAAAAATATTAACATCATAATAGTATTTAGTAACTAAAAATGCTTAAATGTTTTTAAAAGAAAAAATATCGGCCAGGCGCACTGGCTCACGCCTGTAATCCCAGCACTTTGGGAGGCCGAGGCGGGCGGATCACGAGGTGAAGAGATCGAGACCATCCTGGCCAACAGGTGAAACCCCGTCTCTAGTAAAAATACAAAAATTAGCTGGGCGTGGCGGCGCGTGCCTGTAGTCCCAGCTACTCAAGAGGCTGAGGCAGGAGAATGGCTTGAACCCGGGAGGCGGAGGTTGCAGTGACCCGAGATCACGCCACTGCACTCCAGCCTGGGTGACAGAGCGAGACTCCGTCTCAAAAAAACAAAACAAAACAAAACAAAACAAACAAACAAAAACCTGGAACAGTTTAATTTTACAGAAACTGACTAAAAAATAATCAGAAAATCTAAATGTGCCTTTAAGCATTGAACATGTGACTGTAGTTGGTAATTTCACTCTTGTTTTCTTTGGCTCATTCCTACAATATAAGCCCAGATAATATTTCAGATGAATCCCAAGAAGTTTTCAAAGAACAATTTTTTTAATCTGTAAAGTATCTCAGAGAATAAAAATATGCTGAAAGTCCCTAAATTCTATTTTGATGCTAGAATAACCTTGACACCAAAATTAGAAAAAATGGTGTGAGAAATTATATTTCACTCATGAATACAGATACAAAAAAAAAGGCAAAGCATATTAGCAGATTGATTTCATCAATTTCTATTAAAATAATGTATACCATTTGAGTCCTTTTTAGGAATGCAATGTTTTTATAAACATTAGAAAGTGTGGCAATTAACACTCTGAAGGAGGAGAACTCACAAGCCAGATATTGTTGGTGGCCCACCTAGATTCCCTTTACTGGTGGGTGCACTATTTCAAGCTGTCGTGGGTGCCTTTTTTGCATAATTATCTTAGACTGACATGAACCACTCTTCTGGGAGATTCCTGAGAACTCTCCAATAGCAGCAGATGACTGACTAATACTACTGTATGAAATCCAGAAACAAATGCTTCAACTAGGGACAAAGCATTTGAGAATTCAAAAAAGACTAAGAAAAAGAAAATCACAGAAGAATACCTAAACTATGATTCACTTGAAATAAGGTGCAAAAATACACACTGCAGAAGTTGTAAGCAAAAGCAACAGTCAAAAGAGTGGCTACGTCTGGGAGAATAGAAGTTAATATAATTAAGAATATGCTCAAAGGGAAGTTCAAATATTCTATTTTTCTTATTTTTCTTAATTCATACATGCATACATAATTATTAGTTATAAAATTTAAGTGTATTTTATGACTAAATAAACTATTTAATCTGATTTTCATCAACAGTAGTAGTTTGTTTGTTTATTGATTTGTGTTTCCTCTAAAGACAGTTTCTTCTTTTCTCCGTGGAATTCAATGACTGCACTGACAATAATCCAGCAGCAGCCATGCTTTGTAGATTGATCTACTTTATGATAATACATGCATCTGATAAACAATAATCCCAATTTAAGTTTGAGAGCTCGTTGGAGAGATTATAGGGAGTCGATAATAACACCATGTCATTATACCATAACTAATCATGAACATCTAAGTATAAACACTCAAACATCACCCCATATGTGAAAATCCTGACATAGACTAGGTATGATGCAGAATCTAGAAGAAAACCTGGCCACTCCTTCAGATTCTATTTTCTCCTCCATTCTAGCCACAACTTATGGATACCTGAGAGGTAATTTTTATTCATAACTTTTTAATTGTGATAGGATTTATCTACTGCTATTTTTCTAGATTAAAATATTTTGAAATACCTTAAGGTACTTAAGACCAGGGTTGATGTTTTTCAACTATCTTTTCCTGGAAAAGCTTAATGTTCTCAGGTATGCAAATATATATATATATTCACACCTTCACATGGGATGCATCCAATACTCATATGGGACTGGCAAACTTTGCTACTGTTTCTATGCTTGCCCTAACACGTTTTCTATCAGAACCTTGACCTGGACTTCAGATCTAGCTGTACGTCCTCAGACTGATGATTTATTCCTCCTATGCTAATTTGGTTTTGATCCCTGAAATTTTTCCTCCATATTATATTTGGGTAGTTTTATTTCTTCTGCCAATTTCTATCTGAAAAACTAACGATTGTGAACTTCCCTAAGAAGAAACCCACACTAAGTCCCTTTTCCTATTACCAAATATTTGTCTTCTAAAGGTTATACAGAAAATGACTGCTATTAGTCATTTAGTCTCAATTGACTAAGTGTTTTGTTGCAATCATTTGGGCAATATAAAGCATTTATTTTCGTGTTTCAACTCTTTGGTCTTTTTATGCCCCTTTTCTCATTTGATTGGCCAAACTGGCCTTCGTTGGTGTCTGTGCTTAGTGGTAGGCATGTTTTCTTATTTAAAAGTGTCACTGACCAGAAGGAAATAAGTTTCCCCAATGCCATTTGAAAACAAAACAAAACAAAAAAAAAAACAAAATAAAACAAAACTCTTCAACCTCAAATTTTCTAACCTCTTTTTCTCTACCCCCGGCCTTAAACTTCCAGGCATGGTCCCCAGCATTTTATAAAACAATTCTTTATTTACTTCTCTTCCCTACTGTCATGGTCTGTTTCATAGTAAATAAAATTGTCATAACCTTTATGTTGAGGATAAACATTCAGTTCTGCTATTTTTAAACTTGTTCTTCAAGAAATTAAGTATAACCTAGCTAGACTGTTGATCACCTTTAAGAAACCACTGGTAAAAATAAGTTATTAAGTGTACCAGGGAGTGATACTCTTAGAAAATGGTGCAATTTCACCAATACTCTGATTTTTTTCTAAGTAATTATTTTTAACATCTTCAGTGGTCTTCTTGGGATAAAGGCTGAATAAAAATTTGACAGAACAATTTTTTAAGTAACTGAAAGAAAAAACATGTAGCTAGCGAAGCTGACTTCAGTGGGATCTAGGAAGACTTGTAGATGTCAAAGTCGTTCATTGAAACAAAGTAAGATTTGGAAAGGTTGAAGGCAAAGATGTGGAATTCTGTTATTTTACTTAACCTGTGATTTCTGCCTTTTCAGTAAACAAGGTTAAGCTGTCATTTGACAGAGAGGGGCTGAAATTTCTTCAAAAAATATAATCTTATTTCTGATAAGACCTGCTTTAAGTCACTGTGTGCTGAGAAAACTTACTTCATCAAAACAAAGCTATGTTCTATGAAAACAAATTATTTCTCTTTCTATATGTGGAATATGAAGTTTTATTGCCTGGCAGGTGAAACCATTTTTATTTTGTCCAAATGCTGTTTAAAATAGGGACATATTTCTTTGATTAAAACTGAAGAACAGACTCAAATGATATAGAAGTATGTTTCCTTGAACATGCAAAATATACTTCATGACTATGCTAATGAGTTCTCTTTCTCTTTAATATTTAGAGTTTTAACATATCCCCAAATATTATTGCTGTAAACATTTCAATTATATTTTTCTTTCTTTCTTTTTTGAGACATGGTCTCAGGGTCTTGCTCTGTCACCCAGGCTGACGTACAGTGGTGCAATCATGGCTCACTGCCGCCTTGACCTCCTGGGCTCAAGCCACCCTCCTGCCTCAGCCTTCTGAGCAGCTGGGACTACAGGCATGTGCCACCACACCCGGATACTTTAAAAAAAAAATTTAGAGAAACAGGGTCTTACTATGTTGCTCAGTCTGGTCTCATATTCCTGGGCTGAAGAAATCCTACCACCTCAGGTTCCCAATGTGCTGGGATTACAGGCATGAGCTGCCTAGCCCAGCTAAATTATATATACATTTTTAAAGTCCAAGAATGAATTTTCATTTGCTTTTAAATAATTATCTCAAGTGGAACTGATTTTTATATACATGCTAAAAAAGAGATGAAATGTAAAGAGCATAATTTATAACACAATTCTAATTTGTCATTTTATATTTAGATTTTGTCTTACTAAGTCTGAAGGAAATTCAATACACATAGTATAACTGTGAATTTTATACTTTCCTTTGTCCTTCGCATGGTGAAAAGATGAATCAAATGACCTAATCCTGGAATGGCTTGTTTTCCTTGCTTACACTTTGCAGAAAATTGATTACTTGTTAAATATAACCAAAGTGACAATTTTTTGAGGCTGGGAAAGATTAAGGGAACAATAAAGATGCCATAATAATATGGTTACCAAATTTGCCAAAAACTTTACCTTTTTCTGTGTTTCACGCAGACAATTATATCTGATATTCATAACAACCCTGTGAGGTCAATATAAAGATATTATTTCTATCTTAAATTGAAGGGAAGTGTACACAATGTGTAAATTAACATTTAAAGGTATGAAATTAGTTATAGTCACAGATTCCGGACTACAAGTTCTGAAGCTCAGACTCCCATACATTTGTTTCCCCTACAACCTCATTTAGGTAGAAATTATTTCTATTAATATTATCCTGTTCCATATTTTAATTCAAGACACTGATTGGAATCAAGAAGCTGAATCATGACCTGTTTATTTTCAAAACTGTTTGTCCTAGTAAACATTCTACTTTTCGGTATTCACTCATTCTCTCAATCCGAAACTGAGACAGCCAATGGCAAGGGGGATGCTAACTTAAGACTTGGCAAGGGAAAGAAGATAGTGATGAAGGTTGATGGGAAGGCACAGATGAGAGGAGATGCCTTTCCACAGCTTGGAAATTATATTCTGGGGAGAATTTACCTCTGTAAAAATTAGAAGAAGGTTTTGCATTGTACTTTAATCAAAATTAGAAGATACAGTTTTTTATTGTTGTTTTTGTTTTGGTTATCTTTTGTGAGACAGGGTCTTGCTCTGTTGCCCAGGATGGAGTGCAGTGGTGTGATCACCGCTCACTGCAGCCTCAGCATCCCAGTCTCAAGCCATCCTTCTGCCTCAGCCTGCCAAGTAGCTGGGATTACAGGCGTGCACCACCAAAGTAGCTGGGATTACAGGCGTGCACCACCAAAGTAGCTGGGATTACAGGCGTGCACCACCAAAGTAGCTGGGATTACAGGTGTGCACCACCACATCTGGCTAATTTGTACATCTTTTCCCACTTTCTTTCCCAGGCAGGTCTTGAGCTCCTGAACTCAATATACACTCTTAAAGTTTTTTTAAATTGGGTTATTTGATTGGCGTATCATAAGTCACTTACTTATCATTGTGTGCTCAATGTTGTAAAATTTATGTGCAATGGAAAAGAGAAAATATCACTTAGGTGATGAAACGTGGGAAATTTATTCAGTGTTAGGACTCCTGAAGAAACAACTTTGCAAATTTTCTTTTATGTAAAGAAACGGGCATCTGTAAATTCATACATATTTTTTAAAATAATGGTTATAAATCTAACTTTTATAACATGGTATTGAAAATGCTTTATAAAGAGTAAAGGACTATTTTAATTTCAGTTATAATTTTAGTGGCTTACAAAATGGATCATCAAAGCCATTTTGATTTTTAAAATTTCATGTGAAATTTAACATATTTTATATGAATAAAACTCCCCCCCCAGCTATCTTTGGAAGACTAAAAGCAGGATTATTTACAGAAGATTAGAAATATACATTGTTGTGAAAGCTACAAAGCCAAACCACATCATTAAATAAAACCTCAGGCTCACAGGAAAGTGACTGTCACAGAGCATTTTTATGAACGCAAATTTTTTATTACTTTTTGATGAGGAAGAACATGATTAGTGACAAAGAAGAAACTGAGTTAAAAAATAAAAACTCTGAAAACAACATGACTACTTTCTATTTCTGAAAAACATTTTCTTGAATTTGTTCTGAAAAATACATGAAATATAGAAAATATTCAAACATAGGTTTCAAAGGTTGTAAAAAGTAAGCATGTAAAAATGAAACAAGAAAAAGGGAGAAACAGAAGATATAAAAGTTGGGATTTCAGGCTAAGTATACCCGTCATATTAATAAATAATTGCATCTTCATATTGTATGATTGATGCTTTTTGAAAATAAATCTGAATATAAATTATTATATAATGAAACACAAGAGTATGTGATATTTGTGCTGATATGCATTAAAAATAATTTATTAAAAATAACTGATGTAGTCACACTAAGGCATCAATCTGGTCTTTGGTATATGAATTTTTTTTAGTTCAAAAATATGTTTATATCTAAAACAATGATTATAGAAAATAGACACATTTATCCAGTTAAGAATAAATTTATGTGAATAAATGTTGTTCTTAAAATTGTCTCTCTTGTCATTTTATTTTTGTTAAGATGAACAAATCAATAAAATTCTATGAATCCAACAATCTAAGCTGAAATGTATAATAACTATGCCTATACCTAGAGAAGTTAAAAAACTTCTCTAGGTATAGTCCTAAAATAGGTAATTATATTTTAGAAATAATTAAAATAGTCTAATATTTTCTCTGTAGGTACACATAACTCTAGACTCTTGAATATATTGGCACTGACAGGTAGATGTTAATGAAAAATGCAGTTTTCTAAAACAGAGATCAGGCCACAGTCATATTCCTGTTTGGTGATAAAATAAACTCAATGACATTGGCTAAAGAATGAGTTTTATTCTGTCTAAAATCTCAATCCAACTTCTCTTAACATCTCACTTAATTTCCATGCATGAATCCTCTAATCCATATCAAATAATCTACATTTGGTTATCTTATTAAGTGGTCCCCTAGGCTTCTACCTCCTGCAGTTTCCCCTGCCTCTTGTATCACTCCTTGGTCCTACAGGATACAAGTGTAGCATATTACTCACACAGTTTTAATATGTTCCTCAACCTTTCATTTCATTGTATCTATCTCTTTTAGAACACTTTTTTACCACTTTTTGCTTTATATTGCATTGTTCACAGCTTTTTACATGCAGGTTGTAACCCTTAAATGAGGCTTTAATTTCATTGATGATGACAACTGTCGCCAGGACACTTTTTAAAACATCCTTCTGAATGTCTGGAACAGTATCTTTCATCTATTGCATATTTAGAACGTCTTGCTCAGTTAATAAATGCTAGGATGTATTAATTTCTGTTTGAAACTAAAGCATTTCAGATGGCACTTCGAAATTGCCAGTAGATAATTTAGAATAAGAATTTGATGATTTTTGACATAAGAAAAATGGCCTTGATACAATTATTAGGGTAACTCTAATTATTATGACCCATTTTAAAGTTTCTAAAGTTAGTATCGGTGAGCAATAAGACTAAACCATCTGATGAACCTATTATAATCCATAAATGTTACATGCCTTTCTCGTACGACATAATTCCAAGAGCCCTTCAATGCTTATTTTCTCTATTCTCTTTCACCTGAGAGTTTGAGAAAAGAATTATTACTAAAATAGTTTTTGATGTCTCTGAAGTGTTGAAGGGCAAAAATCTTTCATTTCCATGAACTTAGCAAAATGTATACATGTAATCATTCCTCCCTTGACTAACACCTTTTTTCCATTTTTTCATCAGTGCTTCAAAGAATATGTTGTTTTTTTCTGAACTCTTCTTTTATTAAAAAAAAACTGCATCACTACATCTTCCATTGGTACAAGTTAGAGTAGTATATATGTCTTTAAAAGAGTGGGAACATGGTAAAAAGCACTGCATTTAATATTTTCATTTTAAATTTATGTATTTAGAAACTGAAAAAGTGATTGTGTTCTGAGTGCTGGTCTTATCTCCAAATGGTTGTGAGTTACATTTGGCTGTAAGGTTTATGAGATTTCTAATTCTATATTGGAAAAAGATTTGACTTTGGCAGATGAGGTAGAAAATAAAAATTTCAGTGGTATTGTTTTTCTTCAGATAATATTTAATTTGGCTTTAATCCCAAGGGATGAGAGAGAGAGAGAAAGAGAAAGAGAGAGAGAGAGAGAGAGAGAGAGAGAGAGAGAGAGAGAGAGAGAGAGAATTCAAATTTGAGTCATATATTTCCCAGGAACTATTCTGAGATTTGACCTATTTGTAAAACTGGAAGCCAAGTAAGTCAGTGGCATAACATAGATAAAGGCTAAGTACAATTTGACCTTGAGACATGGGAGTTTTCCCTCTTTCCATAATATGCAGCTGTAGAGTCCCAATTTTTGAACAGCTGATCAACCACTGTCCACACTGATAGATAAAGACTTACACCAAATGTTTTGCATTCAAATATGTTCCATTAACATGCTCAGTTAACTGGCACTTCTTGATGACTCTGATATGAGTTCAGATATGTTTTTGTATCCAAAATATGTATTCAGCTAAACCAAAAAGAAGACACCAAATCAGACGTACGAGTAAAGTTCTGTAAGAAAATGATGATTAATTTTGTATTAAGCTTGTTGCATTGCCAAAAACAATGGACTCAATACACTTCCCTCCTCCTACCCAGATTTCTGATCATTTTCTCTGCTCTTTCTGTAAATACATCTGAGCTACAATCAACTGACATCCCGAAAGATTAGACTGAAGCTGGATACAAAATAAAGGCCAAAGGTCATTAACTTCTAGCTGAGTGTTCCATATGCTGGGTTCTACAAGTCTGTATACATCAGATATTTGGATCACGTCAATATCTAAATCCTTGTTTTGAATATCATTTTACCTTCCAGATATTGTTCAAGAAGATATGTGCCTATAAGTGTGTCCACCTATGTGGTTAAACAAATTAAATTCCTCTCAGAATATTTTCCTTCTTGTACCTTGTTGTAGAAAAGTCACAACCTAACTCTGTATGGAGCCTTATCTTTTCCTCTCCAATCTCTTCTTCATGTCTGTGTTTGTACAGATTTGTCATAGGAAGAATATCTTATATAGATATTTAAGTAATTTCTGCAAAAGTTATTAATTTCTCAATGTTTGCACAAGGAGTATTTTCAATTAATAAATTCTGCTAAGAAAAATCTTTGATAAAAATACTATCATACTATTAATTTTTTTAAATTTAGCATCCAAGATTATATACAGGGTCTGTATGTAGAAGAGTATCTTATTTGAAGAAAATAAATTGATTTCAAAGCTATATCTTATTTATGTCTGTAAATAACAATGAAGGCTTCCAAAATGTGCTGGAACACATTAATGACTTGTGATTTCATATCCGATTATTTGTGGCCAGTGAAACTCAAAGTCAACGTACAAACTCTTGGCTCACCACACTCTAAGGGAACTATTTTCTAACGCTGATAAAACTAGAGATTTTAAAGTAAGATATTGAGTGTTCAATGACTCTGGTCAATTTGCACAGCATTTATATGTTGTTGCTGTTTTTTGACTCAAAGAAGCAAAACAAAAAATATGAGAAGCAATCCATACTTATGATATAATTGCTTAGTTTTAGAGTTTACATAAAAATAATACTTGGAATGCTTTCATTAATTTTTTTTAATCTACATGGACTACAGATGCTCCATTTTGCATTATTATTTAGATTTGATATAAGGGAGCTTAGAAGCACACATTAAAAGTTATTTTAATGTGTGATTAAAAGAAGATAGATCTGAAGTGCTTAGCTTTACAAAATCAGAGAAATATTTTGGTATTCAGATCCATGCAGAGGAACTTAAAGGTTACAGAAACTGTTCAATGTATACACACATTTCATTTTTCAAATCCCCATCTGTAAATTTATTGTGTAATTTTTTTTAAATACGTGCTGAAACATATTAGTGATACGTGATTTCATAGTTTTCTTCTGTGTGTAGTTTATCTGAAGCTTAAATCCAAAAGCCTCATGGAATTTCAAAACCTGACATTCCTGATACTCTTTGCAGAGAAAAGTCAAAACACCTGTACCCACAATAGTTGCCCACATTTTACCCTTCTTTTAGGGTGAATGTAATCCAGAAGTAGCATCATCAGAGCATGTATATCCAGAGGTTACTCCCCACACCCCTCAGTGCCTCTTCAGATTCAGCCTCACACTGGAACACACACCATTATGAGATTAAAAAGGATAAAGCAGCATCTGGAAAACTAAAATGTCGTAAAAAGCTTAAATTACATTTTATTCCTCAGGCTTAAAACACAAATTGAGAATTATTCAAATTAAGCTTACTTACTTCCCATACCTCAAATTATAATATGATAGCACAGGGCAATTGCAAACAGAGGTAAAATCCAAAATTTTGCACATGGGTAGAAACAGACAGAAAATGTCATATAACTTTTGGGGACACTGATAATGATAAATTTAAAGAGCAAAGGAAAAACTCCGGTGTCAACTAATTCCTATTTCATGTATTTAAGAATTTCAATATTTCTGAAATATATAGATGTGGCCAGTTTTAGAAAATAGGACCATTATGGTATGAATTCTTACTTCAAGGCCAATAGCAACAACAACAAAACATTATCTAAAACAATTTGAAAAAAAAAGCCCCACCCAAATTCTCAGAAATTAGCTTATGAAAATATTAAAATAATTGGAATTGTGTACATATATTTAAACAGTAGCTTCACTGTTGAAGATTTCATGAAATTCTCCTGTGATAATATTTTATGCCAGATGCATGTAAATATATATTTATAAGCTAATGAAACTAGAAAATTAGATAAGCGTCTGCAAGCTTTTATGCAATTGAATACTTTGCAGTTGGCAAAGCATTTTACAGATGCTCATTTAATCCTCACAACAACCCTGTGAGGTGGGCAGGGAAGTCATTGCCATCTCTACTTTGTGGTTTGGACCCTGAACACAGAGACTTTCGGAAACATATCTGAGGATAATAACTGTGAATCTCCTTTTTTGCTCCTAGTCCTACACATTTTCCTGTTGATACCAAACTAATTATCAGTGAGATGGAAAAAATCTGAAACTGTGTAAGGAATAAATGTAAGTCAACTATGATTCTATGACATTTACGTTCATTGGAGGATAGTCTTTCAGACTACATTGTTATTGTGTGAGGTACTTATTTTTAATTACTGCTCGTGTTGAAAATAAGTGAATTAGACTGAAGTACAAACCAGCCAGCAAAATATTTGACAATTAATTTTAAATAGAGAAATGACCAAAATTGCTGATTTAAATATAATAAAACAAGTGGAAAAAAGGAAAAAAAAAGTTCCCCAACATTTGGTAGAAGATAAGGTGTGTGGCTATTTTTAAAATTAAATTATTCCCTGACATATCAGATTTTCATAACATACCTTAAACTATTCTTTCTGTCCATTTAAAAATAGGAGTATCCCATTAAAATAAAAGGGGGTGTACGGGATAGAGACAATAGTCTCGTGCTCAGTACAGCACACAACTGGTGCACTGAAGTTGCATACATTATAGTGCAGGCAGCAAATCCCCATGCTCCATCAGTTTTGTATGGAGAAAAGAACTGGGGAGGGCAAAGGGAAATGGTACATACAAGTCCATGATAGAGTGGAAATACCTCATGTAATATAAACACAAGACAAGGCTAATGAGATCTGTTATAATAACAGAGTGTGGTTCTCAAGGTTTCACCCAGAAAAGTGATAAAAGAGGTTGTGATTACCTTCACAAGTTTCCTGTATTAGTGTTACCACCCCTATAAGTCATAACCACCAGTGATCTTGAGCCTTTCTGTTTAGTTTTGCTTTTGAAAAAAATAAATCACAATATATTGAAACAAATATCATTGTTTGGCTTAATTCAGGTATTCTTAATAAACAGTACCACAGACTTTATTGAGCAATTGAAAATATACACAAGGAACAATAACTTTTTCTTTGTATTGTCTTTTTTTTTTTTTTTTTACTTTCTTCCAATTAAATAACCCAGTTTCGATCATGAAAAGGGCACTTGTTTCTACAGGAGCTGTGTCCAGCTTCCTCAGTTCCAAGTACTGTTTCCACACTTCTTCCTTGTCATTGCTGAGGTTGTATATCCACTTACTCAGGAAGCAAATTCCACAAGGTTGCAAGAACTGACCCCCTAAGTTGTTCTTTCAGATTCTATTTCTCCATAGAGTTCAGCTAACTTTTTAAACTCGGGTCCCCAGTCTCCAAGGTAGTGATAATCCTGGTCTGATTGTGTCGTTGCTGAATCCAGCGAGCTGATAGACCCAGCTTCTGATCTCTGACCCTCATAGGCATAAGTCTGAAGAGAGTCATAAGGGGGAACGCTAGGGTCTAGGTCTGCTTCTGCCAGTCTTTGCTTAATAAATTCCTGAACATCTATGCTTTCCAGGGTGGATGATGTCTGGTGTCTGGGAGTGAGCTTCACTTCAGGTCTGATATCCCTCCGGTACTTGAGCTCCTCAGCAGCAGAAGGATTCCTCAAGGCTGTGATGTCAAAGGCCTCTGTGTCTTCCTCTCCGCCTCCTTCATCATCATAGGTGACCACGTTCTCCCGTACATCCTCTTCTGAAATGATCAAGGGCTCTTTTTTGCTGCGCCTCAGGGTGATAAAAAGTACCACAATTGCTGAGGAAGAATGGAAAAAGGATGAAGAATTAAGAAAACAGGAAGGAAATTCTTAGAGATTTTACAACAGCAATTTCCCATTTTCCCATTCGTCATTAACCACATTCCAGAGTTAGGCTGGCATTGCAGCACAACTCACTCTGTGCTCTCTGAATAACACCGCAAGGTACTGTAATGCCTCAAATAATGTAAAAGATGATTACCCCAGGAGACATTGCGAATTGCTGATCTTCTATAGAAAACCACAATACTCTCAGTTTGCTAAGATGTAGGTTTCTTGGCTCATATTTCAGTAAAACCATTTAGTGATTAAAGTGAGATAAACACATGATGAAAAAATAATATGAAATTTTAACTCAAAAAATAATGTAGTGAGCTGGTCTCTCTATAGATATTTAATCCTTCTAGGTAGATACACTAAAGATGTTTTAAGTTTCTGGAATATTGGAAGAAGGAGCCTTAACGTTAAACCCTTTAAATTTTGATGCTTTGTAGAAAATCAAAGCAGAAATATTTTAATGTTGATCTCTTTTGTCAATTATCCTTTAAAATTATATTATCATGCATTAATAATTGCATTTTCCCATTCAGGGACAAAATAATGTTTCATTATTTGTACACAACTTGTTTCATAGGAATTTTTTGATTTATGAATGTTCTTTATATAACTTATTTATTTAATTCTCACAGCAGAGCTGTGGCTTTACTCTATTTTTAACCCATTTATGCCTGAGGTTGCAATTTTTTGTGTGTGAAAAATCAGACTTTGGCGATAACCTTGAGCAGTAGGACATAAATAACTTCCACAAGCTTAATGTTCCAATAATGGAACACTAGGCATAAATGAGAATGAGGAATCTGAGACTCAGGAAAGAGTATCTAAATAACCAAGATCAAAAGATAAGATCACACAGATGGCAAGTGGAAGAGCTTGTACCATAATGTGATTTCTCGCATCACAGGTAATGATATTTCTACTATAAAAATACTCTACTTCAGTATTTCAAAGACATGAAATAATAAACTGAGTGTCCAACTGGACATGTGCCTTAGGATAGCTCTTGCTAAATATGGTGGATTTGTCTTTATTTCCAATAATGCTGCAAACATTAGAAGATGTGATAGAAATGTGTCTTGGGAACTTTGCTTTGGCCATTTATCAATATTTTCAACTGTTTCTATTTGATGAAATTAAACTGTTACTAAATAGAAATAGTTCCCTCACATCAAATTTGTTATAGGCTGTGTTACTAGGCTGAGTATTATTTACTTCAGCTCTATAGACTGCTCTTTTCCTGCTCAGCTGATATTCTAGGCTTTATGATGGTGATAATGATGCCCATTAATATTTTTAACATTCTTTACTTCATAATAATCAGGGAGGTACATTCGATTGACATTTAAGGTTGTTATATTTAGCAAACAAAAATAAATGGCAGGATTCTCAATTAAACGTGAATTTGAGATCAATAACAGCACACACACACACACACACACACACATGCTTCTCAACCTACAGTAAGCTTACATTCTTATAAACCCATTTGAAGTTGAAAATATCTTAAATCAAAAATGCATTTGATACACATAATTTAGTAAACATTATAGCTTAGCCTAGCCTACCTTAAATGTGCTCAGAACACATTAGCCTACAGTTTGCCAAACTTATCTAACACAAAACGTATTTTATAATAAAGATATAAAGAATTTTGAATCAGAATTCAAAATATGGTTTCTACTGAATGCATATTGCTTTCACATCCTTGTTAAGTCAAAAAATCTTAAGTCAAACTATTGTTGGTTGGAGACCATCTGCAACACACACACACACACACACATACACACACACATACACATAAGGTATTAAGTGTGTCCCATATAATATTTGAGATACACACAGGCAAATATTGTGCTAAGCATACATGCATATGTTCCAAATATTATTATATTATTCCTTGTGACATATTTATGTTATATATACACATACATACCTATATACAGATATAGATATATTTCTTATTTATCTGAAATTCACATTTATCTGGGTATACTGCATTGTGTCTGGCAACCTTGATTATAAGTGAACTTGAATGAATGGTTGTGAATCAAACACCAGGTTATCTAACTCTGATAAAGAACATACTTTCCCCCCAGAAACTGCCCTTTTACTGCTTACCTCTGCAAAGTAACTTTTATCTTCACTTTTATCATTATGGTTACTTTGTTCTTCTTTATAGCTTAACCATTTTAATGTATAACTCTAATCTATATGGACTAGTTTTATCTGTTTTAAAACTAGAGAAAACTTGTGGAAGAGGAGTAGATTTTAAAGCCAGAGATGGAAAGGAAAGTGAGAGAAAGGGATGGTCACTGTGCACTGGGAGGTACCCAGTTTTGCAGAGGAAAGGCAAATGGGAGACTATGAAGGAACCAAAAAGACAGGAAAAAAACATCTGTAGAGAAAGTCATAGAACCATCCAGAAACGTGTGAAATGAAAAGATATTAGCATTGGGAAGGTAATGAGAAAATTCAATGAGGGTCACTACAGCAGACATGGGAAGCATTGAATTACTACTGTTTAAAATGAAGTGGTTACAGAAAGCTGAAAATGAAATGTTGGTGCTACACATGCCCTGATCTACAAATATTATGCACAGAATTACAGATTTTCCCATATACGTTGCCTATATGTCAAAGACATTGCTTAATATATGCCTTTATTTTGGGGTAAAAAAGGCTTTTGCTGAACATAGGAAATATGCATTTAATAACTGCCTGTGTATTTTAGCATAAATCCACCTTACAGTTTTCTAATTCAAAGCTCCAAACAACATCCTCAAGTAATTCACTCCACTGTATTCAGAAGTTTAGATTTATCATGCACGATATATATCTCTGTTCATCTTTATAATTAAATGAGGAGGCTGTTCTAGATCGAAAGACCTATTTATAAAGACTGCCTAATTTATTATAATACAATTTCTTACCTTCACCAATAAATCAAGTTATTTTCTTTTATATTGAATTGGTTGGTGGTTGATGTCAAGGGAATTTATGTGCAGACACAACAGGGAATATGTAATCAATACTGCCATAGAGGTATGGAGGTAATTTGCATCCTTCAATATTTGTGCAATTTTTCAATCTTTGCATATGTATCATATTCACTTAATGAAATACAGGGATAATCCTGGCTTTTTAATTATCATGGCATATAGTTTCTATTTCTCAAAAGTTAAGAAAATAATTCAGATATATTATGATTCAAAATATAGAGACCATTTACATTTGAACGTTGAAGGTTTACATCTACCTTTTCCCCAGAAAAGGTAGTATTTGCTACCTTTCTGGATATTATTTGCTAGTATTCAGTGATTCCTAGGCTTGTTACATACTTATTTAATAAAAGGAGATATATATATATATTTATATATATATATGTATAAAATCAAAATCTGAGACATTTTTGAGTGAAAGGGGATGTTGTTCATAATTATGTCAGGACATCAGGGCAAATGCAGACATAGGATCCCTCTAGTTAAAGATAAATTCAAATCAACTCAGAAAAATGTTGTACATTGTGTTCCTGATGAACTTATTTTCATTCCTGTTGGTTCCACAGATATTTCTGGAGCAGATGGCACCAGGTAGATACTCCATAAACAATTATCATGTGGACAAACAAAAAAAAAATCTCTGTGAAAATGGTAATGTGACATTGTGTTAAGTGAATTACCCTGAACAGTAATAGCCTCACTAGGAAAATAATTTTAAGATATTTTTTAAAAATTAGCTTATGGTTACTAATAACATCAAACTCCTAATTGTACTGGAGAATATTTCTTAATGTTTGAAAAACAAATGAAATGTTTCCAAAAAAAATCCTAAGACCAAAGTATATTTTAAAAGAATGAGTGCAGATAATAATTATACATATAAATAGAGTCAAATCCTTATTTAAAAACTGACAGTCAAAAGAATGTATTCAAATGACCCTGATAACCTATCAAAGCATACACATTGGCAAGGTACCTCTTCTTACAGTGAGTCATCTGGTAAAATACAATATGAGAGAACCAAGGTGGTGTTACAAAAAAAAGAAAAGATATAGAACTTGTTTTTCTTTGTACAAAATAATAAATAATTTATGATATAATTTGAAGCCAACTGGATTGAAACTTGAATAAGCTGTAGAATTTTTTACATGTCTTTAGTCTAAAATAAATATTTTATCCTTGGTTAGTGAATTTCTTTTTCTTCTGTTCAAGTTTGGGCAGAATTTTAAATGCCCGTGAGATTATCATTTTATATTATAAATTAGAATAAATTTGTGGAGTTTTATGAATTAATTTTATCATCAAGTAATTCAAAGATGGGGAAACATTTTTTGTATTTGTTTTCTCATAATATGTATTTTTTCCTATATATTATGTATCATTCCAGTGCTTGGCATACTAAGTGGCTTTCAGTTCCCATAATATAAACTATCATACAACTTGAATTTGAACCCATTCCATACTGAATCTCAACATACTCCTCCCTAAGTAGCTTGCATAGCAGAATTTTTTAAACCTCAAATACCACTTGATTCTTTGTCATACCATCATATGTTGGCACTGAATTTGGTAGAATTGAGGTGGCCTGAGTCAGGGAGGTTATTTTTATTGACTTACGGAGTGTGACTTGCCACACTTGGGAGTGGCATCTCTCTCTGAAACCTTAGATTTTTAAACCAAGGGTAGCACACAAAACCATTTGAAATAGCTCAAATGAAAAGCAGGCTGACCTTTATCTCCTCACCAATTCCATCTTCTTCTCTTAGTTCACCACGTGTTCACACCAACTCCATTCTGATCCTCATTTATCAGGAAATTTATATCCAATATTAGGGAGCAATCCATGTCTCACTTATGGTGGCCTCACCTAGGTTACCTGCTTATATGTAAGCTGTGGACTGAAAGGGTAGCTGGAAGAGGTCCCAGTCAGATCCCGACTCAATGACTTATGCCTAGTGTGATCAAGATTTGCCTTGCCAACTACTCTAGTCCCTCTGGCAAGAGATGGGGTAAAGTTGGGAAATAAAAGTCAGGCCTCTGGGAGGGAGAGAGGATTTCAGCTACCTCTACTGTCATGGTAAATTCTGATTGCATCATAAAGGCTCACTCTAAATTCTCTTCCATCCATCATATGCAATAGACCTGAAAAAGGTAACCTCAACAGACAGTAACTCAGCTCATAATGTTTATATCTATCATTTAAAGTTAGCCTCTTTGGTTGACAAGCACCATTCAACGTATACATAGATGGATTCCGACCATGTTGTAAAATGTTGAACCATATGCAATCTTTAATAAAACAAGAATAAGCATTTCAAAATTCTACAGAATGACTCTAAGGTCCTTTCAACTGAAATGTCATTCTCACAGGTTTAGAAATAGAAACAAGAAAAACTGAATGTGTGGCTTTAGATCACACAGTTATTGGCAAAACTAGAGCTGGGTTTGTACAATCATAGCCATTTTCACAAACAAGAAGCTGAGAGGGAAAATTTTTTAATATTAAAATATTAATTTTACAATTTGTTTAGCTGCGAGGGTTGAACGTTATTTCAGAATTACGAGTTCAAAAATAAAGTTTTGCTACATTTGGTTTTGTCGATATTTATGCCGAAAATCATAATCTCATAAATTAACTTCAACATTATTTTAAAATTACAGATGGCTATATCCTGTATCCCTTGGCTAGATACTTTCTGAATAACAATAAAAACGAATCAATGCCATGAAAAGCAAATATTGCATTATAATATATAATTGTAGTTATATATTTTCACTAATTTTATTAGTTGAAACTTAAATATGCTTTTAGAGCATCTTCTCACCAATTCCATCTTCTTCTCTTTGTCCACCACGTGTTCACACCAAACCCACTTCGATCCCCATTTATCCGGAAATTTATATCTAGGATAAGGAGCAGTCCATGCCTCACTTACGGTGGCCTCACCTAGGTCACCTGCTTATATGTGAGGTATGGACTGAAAGGGGAGCTGGCAGAGGTCCCAGTCAGATCACGGCTCAAATATGCTTTTACAGCATATTTGAGTTTCAACTAATAAAAATGAAAAAGTAAACATATCATATAGTAACTTTATTAGTCTTGAGGGATATAATAAAATTTACAAATGTTCTATTACTTACCCCAAATGAGAAAACATTTTCATAAAAACCAATTAAAATGAAGTATCATTCCATGAAAACATAAAATGTTCTTTCAATAATGCACCTCAACATGTACCTAGACATTTAACACATTAATTACATTTTTGATATTTATCTTAGTAAACAAAAATAGTTTTATGATGATAAACAAGCTCAAAATTTGAAGATAACATGCTTCACCTAAGAGATCGACTTTTAAGAGTAAGAACGCTGGAAGAACTCTCATTAAAATCCCTGCGTTCTATTCTCTATGACTTCAGTTAGGACTCTAGAGAGATCCAGGGTAATTGTTGTGCAGCCTTGTTTTCTCTTTCTGGAGTGTTTGTGCTCTTCTTCTTTTCAAATATACACAAAAAAGAAGTATGTTAATATCTAAAGAAAACAGCAGTTCTGACCAATAAATATATAAAGTTTATTTTATTTATTTATTTATTTATTTATTTATTTATTTATTTATTTGAGATGGAGTCTCACTCTGTCATCCAGGCTGGAGTGCAGTGGCGCCATCTCAGCTCCACTGCAAGCTCCGCCTCCCGGGCTCACGCCATTCTCCTGCCTCAGCCTCCCGAGTAGCTGGGACTACAGGCGCCCGCCACCAAGCCCGACTAATTTTTTGTGTTTTTAGTAGAGACAGGGTTTCACCGTGTTAGCCAGGATGGTCTCGATCCCCTGACCTCGTGATGCGCCCACCTCAGCCTCCCAAAGTGCTGGGATTATGGCATGAGCCACCGCGCCCGGCCATATAAAGTTTCTAAAGGCTCTTTTCCTGACTTTCCTCTCCACCATACATTTACTGTACATATTTATTTGTTTTTATTTATTTATTTATTTTTGAGACAGAGTCTCACTCTGTCACCCAGGCTGAAGTGCGGTGGTGTGATCATGGCTCACTGCAGCCTCCAACTCCCAGGCTCAAGGGATCCTCTCATCTCAGCCTCTCAAGTAGCTTCAACTACAGGTGCATGCCACCATGACGAGCTAGAAATGACTGGAATGCAGTGAAATAGTTCTTGCTCTGGTGCACCAAACTTCCATCCTTCATGTTGCTAAGTACAACTGAGCATTTTGGTGCTCAATTTATTGAACTTGTAAGCATCTTTTGACTTTGTTGACAAGATTTACTACACAGCATAATGCTCCTTGATACCCTCTTTTCCCTCAACGTTTGTGACATTATACTTTACTTTCTTCCTACTCTCACTTCTTCACTGTCCTCTGCTATCTCATCCTTATTTAGTGATCACATTGTAGTTTCTCACTGTGTAATCCCAGTCCATTATCTCTCTACATATATTCTCTTGCTGGGCAACTTGAATGAAGTGGACTTCCAGTGTCCTCTAGCTCAGGGTAGTTCAGGATCTACATTCAGCAACATATAAGAAGTTATATTTGAGGCCATTCTAACTCATGCAGGTATCTACATTATCAAAGATCATTTTTCTGAGTCCATTGAAAGTACCTAGATATTATTCACTTTTCCTCAGGTCTGTTATAAGTATGCTACTCTAACACGTACTGTGTCGAAGGGAGACAAGGGCAGACTTTTCCTAACTGGTTTCCCTACATGCCCTCTTGTCACCAGGAGTTCTATTCTCCATTTCATTCACAGTCATCTTTTGCAAATTGAAGATTTTATAATGGGACTCTCTAGCTTTAAACCTTTCTTTACACTCCTAAAACAAAACTCACCAGCTTTGCCATCTCCCACAAGTCTCTGGATGCTCTCACCCTTTCCTACAAATCCCTTCTCCTTTCCAAGCTCATTACACTTTAATATCCACTCCATCTATACAAGTTATTTGTCTTCAACCCCAGGAACAAAACAAGGAACATATTTTTTCAAGAATACCTCTTTCTCAGAAAAACAGTCAATTATCTTTTCATGTATGTCAGTACCATAAAAGGAATAAAAAACAGGCTGCTAAGAGAAAGAAAAAAGACTTTGGACACAGGTCCCCACTTGATGAAGCAGAAAGATTCCTTACATCCATCTTTCTTGTTATTACAATACAGATTTGCTATCTTGTTTCAAAGAGCATTCTAAAGAGTTTATAGTTATAGAAGCTCTTCATGCGGCTGTGAAAAGATTTAGATTATTACAACAGATAATGTAAAATTAGAGAAAGTGTGTTTTTTAATAAACTGTAATGAAAATTTCAAATAAAAAATTTATTTTATTTTATTATTATTATTTTTTTGAGACTGAGTCTCACTTTGTTGCCCAGGCTGGAGTGCAGTGGCGCGATCTCAGCTCACTGCCAGCTCCGCCTCCCAGGTTCATGCCATTCTCCTGCCTCAGCCTCCCGAGTAGCTGGGACTACAGGTGCCTGCCACCACCCCTGGCTAATTTTTTTGTATTTTCAGTAGAAACGGGGTTTCACTGTGTTAGCCAGGATAGTCTCGATCTCCTGACTTCGTGATCCGCCCGCCTCGGCCTCCCAAAGTGCTGGGATTACAGGCGTGAGCCACCGCACCTGGCCAAAAATTATTGTTTTTAAGGGAATATAATTAAATTCAATAAAATTTAATATCCCTCTAAGACCAAAAAATATTTAGTCAGTATGTTAATAACTAGCTAACATTAATGATTAACTAATTATTGTGAACTAGTAGAAGTTTCTACAAGTTATCTATTTTTTATTTGGTTTTCAGATTCGTTTTGTTTTATGGTTTATTCATTTATATATTTAAGGTGTGCAACATGATGATGTTTTCCCAATAATAGTTTTCACTATTATTACACAGTGAAATGCCTAGTGTAGTCAAGCAAATTAATGTTTCTGTCATCTCACGTAGTTACACTCTTTTTTCACGTGAAGGGGAAAAAGCACCTGAAGTTTACTGTCTTTGCAAATTTCCAATACAACACAATATTGTTATTAATTAAAGTCCTTTTGTTGTATATTTGATCTCTCATTTTTTGTACATTTACTCACCCTAAGGCCATATGACCCTCACCCTCATGCTGAATGAATGGGTGACCTCCTCTGATCTCAGAAGCTAAGCGGGCTGGGGTCTTGGTCAGATTCATTTAGAATGATGCCGCTTAGATTCTTGCCAAAAATTTTTAAAAGCTCTTTCACGGTGGGATTCTGAATATTTTAATATTAATTCTTTCCAAAATATACACTTTCAAAAGCTATTTCTTTCCGATTTTATCCTTCTTCTGTTATTTCAGTTCTTCCAACATATTTGAATCTAACTATTTTGAGATTAATGACAGTATTGAGAAAATTAATTCATAGGAAATTGGAGCAGCTGTTTCCTTACCCACATTATGGATGCCTAATCCTTAAGATTTGTCAAAATGATTCCCTCTCATTCAGAATTGCCATCATGCAAACTTAGGGTTTAGAATGACTTACCCAGGAGAATGAGAACACAGAGAAGAATAGCGATTAAGGCTCCTGTACTCAAACCAGCCGAGGACAGGAAGGCTTCTGCATGGCAGGTCCGCACACGCCCATCTCTCTCGCATGCACAAACCCTGATGGTGAGGGTGCTGCTGCTGCTGAGAGAGGGGATTCCACCATCAGAGATCATAATGGGCAGATAATACACATCCTGAACAGTTCGACTAAATCTCCTCCGCCTTGTCAGAATGCTGGCTGTGTTATCTATGATAGACATAAGCAAAACAAAATACACTTAGTCAAGCCGCCATTCAAGATTCACATTTCCTTTAATGGATAAAATGGGGATGTGTATCTTTCTTGTTTCAGTTTATGAAATGGACAAGGGAACACGAAGGGGCAATTATTAAAGAGAAGCTAATATTGGTTCTCCAACTGAGAAACCTATTTAGAAAAATTAATACAGCCACACTAAAGATGAAAGAAAATAGTGGGAAGACAAAGCAGGAGGAAGCAATGAACATTTTGGACATGGACCTAATAGCTATAAGATTTAAAGGGATGCGGACGGCCTGAAGTCATACACTTAGGGTCCTATACTTTGAAGTGAGCCAATGAGATTTTCTCCAAACCTAGAGGCTCTGAATATAGGTAATAGGAGCACAAATCTGTATTTTTAGCAAACTACTGAGGTGAAGTTGATGCATAAAACAGGTATAAGAATAACTGGTTTATATAATATTTCTATGGAGACAGTAGATCAAGCAACAAACTTTTTAGACTTGGCTGTGATTTGAAGCTGTATTGTTTGACCATGGGGAAGTTAATGATGAATAAAATAGCTAATCATATTTTTAAAAATGTGTTTATTAAATGCAATGTACTATAATAAATGCCTGCATGATATATTGTGTTCAATCTATAAAACTTTATGAGGGACAGGATGCTAAATTCTTTAATTCATAGCTGAAAATAATTTTTGTTATAAATACTAATTTAAAAGTAAATAACCCTAGTCCCAGAGTGTTAGTTGCCCAAAATCACAAAGCTAGTAAATGATAAGGATAAAACCTCTATTCTAGAACCCTGCTCAACACCACAATGTCACATTGCCTCATCTACAATTCACTGCCAAATGGTATTGATGTCCGCAGTGCGCATAATATATGTTTCATTGTACTGTTATTCCTCGTCCCTGAATGCATAGCTGAAAACCCACATGGTCCATACTTGGATGTACTGTTCAGATCCCTTCATAAAATTTCCTGTTGCCGTAGCTATAGATTGCCACCTGCCCCCAGGTCACACTTCTGGAATAGCATATAACTAACGACTCACTGCTGAAAGGTTACAAACGTTGGGCCATCCCCCTTCCTGCACTACTGACAATACTGATGGACAACTTTAGCTCCAGAGCTTTTCCATAGGGTCAGCCATTAAGAGACATTAAGAGTGAATGTCAGCTCCATCTGTCACTCTACGCTGTCGTTCTTCCTTCTCCTGTGATCTACAGATGTTGATCCCAATGGCATACTCCACTAACACCTGCGCTCCAAATGCCAATTCAACTCCAGGGAACTCAATAGGCAGCTACATCTATGAGTTAATTATTTTGCACTAAAAAGTAAGTGGGTCATTAGACAATTACAATTAGGGCCTCTTTTTCTCTTAACAATGTCTTTTATTCTGAAAATAGAAATTGTATTTTATGTAGGTATGTTTATAACAGTCACAGTGCAATATCCTAAAATGATATTATTTATTGTACATTGCTAAATTAACATAATAAAAAAGCTAATTTTTAAAATATTCAATGTACTACATATAATAAAACACAAGAAAATATGCACATACATACATATATGATTGAGTTACTGAAAATCAGAAATAAATAATCTAATGAGAAATTGAAGAAAATTTTCTTACCTAGTGAAAGAAGAATTTTTAAAAACTACATCAGCTGTCTATTCTTTTTTTTTTTTTTTTAGATGGCGTCTCGCTCTGTTGCCCAGGCTGGAGTGCAGTGGCGCCACCTCGGCTCACTGCAAGCTCAGCCTCCCGAGTTCATGCCATTCTCCTGCCTCAGCCTCCAGAGTAGCTGGGACTACAGGCGCCTGCCAACATGCCTGGCTAATTTTTTGTATTTTTAGTAGAGACGGGGTTTCACCGTGTTAGCCAGGATGGTCTCGATCTCCTGACCTCACGATCCACCCGCCTCGGCCTCCCAAAGTGCTGGGATTACAGGCGTGAGCCACTGCGCCTGGCCAGCTGTCTATTTTTAAACATGTTATAGGATAGAGAAAGAAGTGGAGAAATGACATCACGTGTATTATATAATAATTTATCAGTCATGTTTACTCTCCCAGAAAACCTGACTTTTGTGGAAGCAGATCTATCAGCTGTAGGATGTTGCATCACAATGAACAGAAGTCTTTAGTCTATGGGAAATGTGTGAAATAAGTATTCACGGGCACAAACATGTTTGACAATCTTACAGCTGCTCCTCTGAAAAAGAGATGTGAGACACTGGTCCCTGAATCTCAGGAAACACGAATAATAACATGTGAAATGACAGAACATGCAGTGTAGATGGCGGCTCTTTCATGGCTCAGGCCTAGCATACGTCTCATATTAATAATCTTGAAGCATGCTATTTTCAGGAAAACTATTGGAAATGCAATCAGAAATAAGACAAATACCAGAATATGTTTCTAGTGCATTTTAAGTCCTGAAATAGAAATCTCTAAGACATAAGGACATAAAGATGTTCATTCCTGTTTTTCCCGTTAAAGTTTTGACTTTTGAAAAGAAAGGATGATTCAGGAGGCAAGAGCTTCCCACCTAGAAAGGCTTAGCACAGCAGAATAATGAACTCTTGACAAGGCATATTCTGTACCTCACCGGAACAGTACAAAATGTACTTGGCAGAAGGCTCACTGAACTTGAAAAATAAAATTTTGAACACTGAGGAAGAATATGAAAGGAAGAAGAAATATATATATATTATATAGATATGTATTATATAGAAATATATATATACACACATACATATATACACATACACACAAACACAACACACCATACACACCAATTCCCACATGTACATATATATGTGTATATATCAGACACAATAAAATACGTCTTGCTGAAATTGCAAAATTAGGCGACAAGACCCATAACAAATCTCTAATGCGATATACAATGGTTAAAAAATAAATGAGGGCCAGGCGCAGTGGATCACACCTGTAATCCCAACGCTTTGGGAGGCCAAGGCGGGTGGATCAACTGAGGTCAGGAGTTCAAGACCAGCCTGGCCAACATGGTGAAACCCCGTCTCTACTAAAATATACAAAAATTAGCTGGGTGTGGTGGCGGGCGCCTATAATCTCAGCTACTTGGGAGGCTGAGGCAGGAGAATTGCTGGAACTCGGGAGGCAGAGGTTGCAGAGAGCCGAGATCACGCCATTGCATGCCAGCCTAGGCTGTCAGCAGTGAGACTCTGTCTCTAAATAAATAAATAAATAAATAAGATATTATAGAAAGTCTCAAATGGCATCCAAATGAATAAGAAAAATTAATATAGGCTGAATAAAGAGAAAACATAGCATGATAGAACATCTGTGGATGAGAAGTACTAATTGTCAATGTCAATCTCTAATAATGTGCACCATAGCTGGGTTCTTAATTCTAACTCTCTATAGCTTGGATGAAGACAGCAGATTATAGAACACTTGGAAGCCAAGCTAGTAAAGCTAATGTATTAGATTAAGATTCGAGGAGATTTTGTATAGCCAGAACAAAGAAATTTAACAATAAGACAGGAAATAAAGATGCATATTAGAGGCTAGACTTTGGAAAGTATCACATAGGGAGGATCTTGAATAGCAGCTTTATTTTAAAATATAGATAGATGATTGAAAGGTAGGTAAATAGGTACATAGGTAAATGATAGATAGATTAGATAGACAAATATAGACATATAGCCATAAGTCTACAGAGCTGTCAAACAAGCTAAACAATCTGAGAGCATTCAATAAAGATAAGAAATTTCTGCTTCTCTTTATTGAAAGGATGGCTGCACTGGAGTACTGGGCATAGTTTTGGGTTCACTGCATTAAAAGTAAAATTTTAAACCAATAATATGTGTTTAGAAGACTTTGAGACCTTAAAAAATAGTTTGGAAAATATTTCACATGAAGAATTAACAGAATGTTTACATGTCATATATGAATTTTGTTGACAAAAGGGCCCCTGAAAATGTCCAGAAAATTTTGGAAAACTTTTTATCTTTTTCATTATAACCAATATGTTCCTAGTATTTCCATAAACCATACCCTTAGTTTAATGCAGAAATAGTGTTGCATGTATTTTAATATTTAAAAATAGATGACAATGCATTATTTATTTTGTTATGTGATCCCATTTCTTGTTCAAAAAGAATATGGACACAAATAGGATGAAGCAGGGAGGTTTTCACATGCATATATAATATCAGGCTTATGCCTACACTCTAATAATACCCTGTGATAACTGTGAAATAATTGAAATTTCATTTATTTGAAAAGCAATCATAATAATAAATATAATTTATCCATCTTTCTAGCAATAAATATTCCAAAGATGTTTACAATTGGTAAAAATGTTGTGGGGCTATTTCACAAAAATATTTGTCATAAAATATATTGTTAGGTAGTTATGCATTCAACTTCTGTATTTCTACAGGCCACAGAATACATTAGTAGAATACAAGTCACATGCTTCTGGAGATCAGATGTAGTTTTCTTGAGCTACTATTATATGTCTCATTTTTTTGTTCAATAGTTTGAAAGACCTTGCAGGATAGACTTTAATTTATGTGCCACTGTAGCAAACTATAATACAGTTCAATTTAAAATAAGGCATGTCTTTAAAATAGGTTTTGGGGCAAAAATAAATCCTATTTTTTAGTCCAAAATTACCTTATAGCTTAGAAAATATTAAAAAGTATGTGTTTTTTGAAACTGAAATTATCAGACACCTACTCTCAGTTATATCAGCAAATTTCTTTTCTGATAATGCAGGCAAAGATATATTTTATTTCAAGCATAGCCTGCCAGACCATTAAAGTAATATTTCCAAATCTATCAGAACAGCAGAAACATTTGAAATCCTCAGATGTGGATCTCTAATTAGACCAAAAAATTTTTTAATGTGTATGAAGAGAAAGCTAGGAAATACGGCTCAACTTCCACCAGACAAATCAATAGGCATGGTTTCATATTGTCTCTGAGTTTTTTTCAGTCTTGCGGCAGAAATAGAATCTATTCATAATTTAACCATTATCAGAGTGCATGCATCAAACAATGGTGTTTTGCATTCCCTCAAAGCTCCCTTTCCATAATCGGTACTTGATTAATAATGATTTGAACTACACTCAGCAGGAACTTGTCTTCTGTTACAATTTTATTATATTGACATGGAGGAAGAAATTGAAAGCAAAATGAACTAATATATCTTGTAACACTTCAGCAGCATGTTCTCTTTATGCTCTTTAACGAAGGTTTATTTCTTCGTATTCTCTGACTTCCCTTTCTTTGAATCTTACAGTGGCTTAATCTCCATTTTCGGACTCTGGATTCTGCTTGTTCATCTCAGTTTGCAAACATCCTTGTGGCCTTACTTGTCTTTCTGCCAAACTACAAATGCATGATCCAATATGTCATTATGTTCTGATCTGCACCCTGGAATGTCATCCCTTTGACCATCTGCCACACTCCTTCCTACTTGATAATCTTAAAATCCTGGATAAATACAGTGTCCATTGTCTATTTCTGCTTTGGATTCACAAATAATGCTGATACAAATTATAACCATCTTAACTGATTCCACCTAGTATATAGAAAAATTTAAAATAAATGTACTTATTTTATAATCTCCGAGGAGATTAGTAATCAATCTGTTAGTGTTTGTTCTTTTTTTTTTCTTTTTTTTTTTTTTTGAGACTGAGTCTCTCTCTGTCGCCCAGGCTGGAGTGCAGTGGTGCAATCTTGGCTCACTGCAACCTCCACCTCCCGGGTTCAAGCGATTCTCCTGCCTCAGCCTCCAAAGTAGCTGGGACTACAGGCGCCCGCCACCACACCTGGCTAATGTTTTGTATTTTTAGTAGAGACAGGGTTTCACCATGTTGGCCAGGCTGGTCTCAAACTCCTGACCTTGTGATCTGCCCCCCTTGGCCTCCCATAGTGCTGGGATTACAGGTGTGAGCCACCGCGCCTGGCCAATATTTGTTCTTTTATCAGATGCTACACAGTAGCTCTTCTAAGTTTCTTTTGTCCTTTTTCTTCTGAGCTGTTTTTCCACTCTCGTCACGAAAACATCTTTTTCTGCAAAGAAGCTGCCATCTATTACCAAGATTTTTAAAAAAAAGTATTTTAAATTGTTCAATCTTTCTTTGCCATTACATCTGTATATTCAAGACTGTATTTCGGGCTTTACAAAATAAGCACAAATACACATGAAACAACTATGTGATTCTTGAAGAATATCAGGAAATGTGCTTATGAATAACACACAAATTTGTTGAAGTGTTAATTTAAAGAGGAGGGAAATGAAGAAAAAGTGAGCTTTTAAAATAAAGTCCAAGCCAAAATGTAAAATAATTCATAAACATACAACTATAATATAATAACTGCAGAAGTAGAGATAAGAACAGCTGTTTTTTTAAAACAAATATAGGAGTCTGAACTCCAAGAGAAAACTTCTACCCGTTATTTATCACAAACCTTTTATAAACAGTATTTTTTTAGTAGAGAATGAATGAGTTAAAACAGAAAAAAAAACTATGTTTGGAGTCACTAGATTTATAAACACTAAAAAAAAATTGTAAGCATAAATCCTCAGAGAGTTTTAACAAGTGAATGTATAATTCTATTTTTAAAATAGTTTTTCTTCACCTGCATTAATGTACATGGTGGAGCAGGTGACTCCTGTAGCACCATGTGGTTCTTAGTAAGGAAAGAATTAAAGCAGAAGAATGGAACCTACTTTTTCACAAAAGGAAAGCAAGTGACATGCAATGATAAAATTAGTTTTTTTTATATATGATATATCACATATATAAAAATCTGTTTTTTTTTTTTTTTTTTTTTTTTTTTTTTTGAGACAGAGTCTTGCTCTGTCACCAGGCTGGGGCACTGGAGTGCAGTGGTGCGATCTTGGCTTACTGCAACCTTCACCTCGCGGGTTCAAGTGATTCTCCTGCCTCAGCCTCCCAAGTAGCTGGGACTACAGGCGTGCACCACCACACCCAGCTAATTTTTATATTTTTAGTAGAGACAGGGTTTCACCATGTTGGCCAGGATGATCTCAATCTCTGGACCTCATGATCTGCACACCTCAGCCTCCCAAAGTGCTGGGATTACAGGTGTGGGCCACTGCGCCCAGCCAAAATTAGCAATGTTTTTGTTTTGTTTTTCTACTTCTATTTTTTTGCTTAGTGAATATGAGTCAGTTTTCTTTCATTTGTGAGTAGGAGTAAAAAGGTGAGAGGTGGTGTGGGCTGGCAAATCCATAAGGGGAAAAATAATTTTATATATAGGTAAAACAACAATCAATGTTTCTATGTTTTACATATATATATAAAACAACAATTAATAGAGTTTGAAATAACCAGAGAGAGAACAAAAGCATATCTTTCTACCTAAAGCAATAGAGCCACTAAAATGGATCACTACAGTTAATCCACAATCTTTTACATTTTAGGGTCAAGATTGTATACATGCTCTTTAATTTCTCACTAGTCAAGCTTGAGTGTCTGCATTCAGGTAAAGGATGGTGTAATTCTCTCAAGGTGCATCTGGATAAATGTTAGTATTTGACTGATAGGAGAAAGGAGAGCCACTGTAGAATAAAATCCATGTGTTCCAACCTCGTCCCTGACCTTAGATAACTGACTCAGCAGGACACAGTTACAGCCACATCCATTAGAGGATATATGAGGCTTGATTTGCAACTTAGGGTGGATTATATGTGTGTTATTTTGTTTAGGAATGTGAGGAATCACTAAATGGTCTCTTGAAACCCTGTGGATAAAAACAAAATTTTAAATGGTTATACTCTGTAGAGAAATTAAGCATATTACAACACCAGCTGTGAGTTCTTGTTTGAAGGACAAAAATAAACTACGGGAATGTTGACTGCTACAAATCTGGCAATGCCAAAGAAATACAAGATAAACATTTAAAAATTCCCTTGATTTCCAATGTGTATCAAACTACATACCTGCATTTCCCTACCAATGGAGTGTGAAATTTGAAAAGACTCCAAAAGACTTCTTTCTAACAGTTACATAGTCAACACTGAAAATATCCCTTATTGTAACTTCTATGCAATATCAGCTTAAAGTTATATCTTCTTTCGCCAACCCCAAATAGCCACAAGAAAAAAAGTTTTCCTGTTTCCTTTTAAGTGTTTTGTTAAAAATTATAAAGCAACTTATAAATGTTATGATCATTTTTAGGAGAATGAATGCTGCAAAAAAAAACAAGTAATAAAGCCAAAGAAAACAGTAAATCTTCAGAATGCCACCAACAAAGTAATAATGACACTCCAAGAAATCTTGTTTCATAGGATTAAAAAAATTAATTTCCAGTGCATTTTTTCTTGTCTTAGAAATAATGTGTTATGTTGACTCATTTATTTTTAAAGAATTCAAGTATCTATGAGAATGGAAAACACATACAAAAAAAGAGAACATAATAAAAACCGATGTGAGTAGTAGATATTCCTGATAGCAAATCATCAAAAAAAAATAAGCATTTTCAAATGTAAAAGACAAATTAAATGTGATTTAGAACCCTGTAAACAGAGATAGAAATGCACACACAATTACTAATAATCTTTTGCCCTAATAAAATCTGTAAGATTTACAAATGTACCTTACAGTTAGAATTAAGCCGGAGAATTAGGTTGGCAAATCTCTTTACATCAAATAAAGCACATTCCCTCAAGAAACAGCAGGAAGATCTTGAAACAGAATGGATTTATCTTTGTAGACTAATGATTTCATATTGGGGGATTAGGTTGCACTTGCATATTACAAATGAATGAACATGGTTATTATATTCCTGGAAGTCTGGCTCAAGCCTATATTCATAAATTTAGTAATAATATGGCCATAGTTTATTCACTATAGATGTGAAGTTAAGCAGTTAAAATTATACAATGAAATTATTTGATGTTAAAATTAAAAGTTGACATCACAACTTAAAGTAAGAAAAAAACTACATTTTAATCAGAAAACATTTCATACTTTTTTGTTGTTTTAGAAAATACAACTTTAAATGCTCTAACTTAAAAATCATCTTTGAACTCTGGTTTTTAAATTTTAAATAAAGTTATGTTATTACCAACATATTAATTAACGATAAAAATAAGGTCAATATTAAGCAAAATTATGTATTTTACAATATATATTATAAAAGAAAAACCCTTCACTTGGTTATTCTCTGAATCAATGTTAAATATTTAATAAATTGGGAGAAATAACTTTCCAGATAAATACGGAGGATTTCTTGGCACAATTTTTTCTAGCCACCACAATTTGGTACTAAAGCAACTAAAGAATGAATGTCAGAGTATCTTATACTGGAGTACAGAATAAGGCACAGTGCTTAGTCATTAGTATGTTCTCATGAGTGAATTAAAATGCCATTGAGTCTCTTCTTTGCTACATTTCCCTCTCTAGATTTTTCCAACCAAGTAATTGACGCTGCATTCTGTCATCTCTATGTTGTTTTAATCTACTACTTACTGAAAAGTAATCTCTGAGTCACTCTCCCTGGTGGAACAGCCTCTATCCTTAAAGTCAAACCATGTTCTACCACTTTTAACAATACAATTTGTAGTGATCTCTCTAAAGTAGCTCACATTTCACCTCCATCAACTGCAAATTACATAATTACATTTCATATCATCCTCATTTCCCCAACTAGACAGCAAGCCCCTTGAAAGCAGGACCTGTGTCTTTGAATTCCTTGAATCAGAACAGTTTAAATAACTGCTGTATACCCAGCAGACAGTACATAACACTGGAAAAATTAACTAGCAGAAGAAAAACAATGTTAAGAACTGTCTACAGAATTTCTCTTAAGAAGAAAGGCGTTCTTTCCAAGGAACATAAGGAAGGGTGATGATAAATAATAATTTGATGTGAGGCTAGAGTGGTACATGCTGGACAGATAGCTTAAAATGTCAGCCCGAGGGAATTGGGGTGTGTGTGTGTGTGTGTGTGTGTGTGTGTGTAAAGCGTTTGTCTTCATTTTGAATTAGGTCCAATAAGTGAATATATTCATATTGACAATATGCAAAGTGTATTTAATAGACATTTCATAAGAAATCCTATATTTTCAATCAATTTATCATTGTTTTTATATGTGATTATATTCAACACTTCATTGTTTCTGGTAAATGTTTAATCACATTAGTTTAGAGAAAGTTTATTTTACACTTCACCTTTGAAAAATGTTTATTCTTATTTCATCTTATTGTCATTTGGCAATAATAGCTCCAACAGTTACATAGTCAATATTGAAAAATCCCTTATTGTAACTTTTTGCCAAATGAATTTTATTATAAATAATACAGTTGTTGTTTTCTGTAACATTCAGTATTTTGAAATACCATTGCTTACTTGTCTCATGAGTGTTATCTTAGAAAAGGATTCTTTTATTGTAGTTCTTTCTTTCAAATATCACTAAAAGAAGATCAACTGGCTGTTCACTTCTAATTTTACAAATGAGTATTTTGACACTATCTACTACTTTTACAATTTAAATTCACTGTGTGGAAATTTGTAACATTATTTCATCATCTGTCAAGTTAGAAGATTTCCACTCTTAAATCTATATTTTTCTTCACTCAGGATAATTTCTTTAGTTATTCCATTATTGTTTTTCCATCGATTTATTTATGTTTTAGTTATCTTCAATGTGCCTATTATGACTCATTACATTGCATGTGTGTTTTCAAATTCTTTATTGTTTCATCTCTATGTACACTGATAAAATAATAATTGCCTATATGTCTCCATTTTACAAAAGAGAAAACAGAGATCCCGTAAACATAAGGAAGTGGCCATAGTTTCACCTATAATTACTAGAGAAGCCAGGCTTCAAACAGCAGCAAGCTGTTTCTAGAGTCTAACTCCGAAACATTCTATTTGTTTCCCCTTTTGAACTTTCTGCTCACTGATGCAGTTTTTAATAGTTTCCATTTGAATTGTATCATCTTACCAGATTTTTTAAATTTTCATGTTAGCTCAAAAAGTCTCACTTAGATATATAATCACGTTCAATATGTCCTAATTCATAATAACTGCCTCTGTCCTTGAACTAACTTGACCCCTGCCATGTCCTCTGATCTTTCTCTAAGAAAGGTGTTTTGAGCTCTGATTCCCAGAGATTCCTCCAACATAGTAAGGGATCGTAGGTAGAATTGAGTCAGCATCTAAATATCTTCCTGTAAATCTCAAAGTCTCTCTGCCTTGGAGGTGACTTTTGGGATCCATCCATAGGTCAAGTTTATTTAGCTGTCCATGTTATCCCAGTTAAGATTTGGAAAAGAGAATGAGTTGGAAATCGATTCTTAGGCTATAATTTCTGTCACCTGATATCCCTTTTCAGATGGCTACTAAGCTGGCCTTTCCTTTCCCTGCAGTCTGTACACTCAAACTTTCATTAACAGTTCGTACTGTGAGAACATAATTCTTTGGGAAGAATTCTTTGGGAAGGATATGTAGCAGGCATGTAAAAGTAATAGAGGCAACAAGTGCCTGAGAAACAGGGAATATTGGTTGAAATGGTGACTAATCCTCAGAGATTTTGGAGAGAAACTTGGATTTGCTAGGTACATGAGATGGGGTTCTAACCCAATTTAATTAAATTTGAAAGAGCAAATATCTGTAGCATTCAAAGGAATATCCAGGCAGCAATCATCTTCATGATAATTAGACTATCATTGAACGGCATCCTTTCTCTGAAACTCCATTTATGTCCCAATTACTTAATGAAACTTTTCTCAAACAAATGGTTCTTCATTTATAAAATGTAGGTCTAGGTAAAATACGCAGTTTTTGATCGACAAATTCTCCCACTAAAAACAAAGAGAGAAGCTTAAAATATCAATAAAATCTCAGCCGGGAGCTGTGGTTCACACCTGTAATCCCAGCACTTTGGGAGGCCGAGATGGGCAGATCACCTGAGGTCGGGAGATTGAGACCAGCCTGATCAACATGGAGAAACCCCGTCTCTACTAAAAATACAAAATTAGCCGGGCGTGGTGGCACATGCCTGTAATCCCAGCTACTCGGCTTGAACCCAGGAGGCTGAGGTTGCCGAAAGCCGAGATCCCGCCATTGCACTACAGCCTGGGCAAAAAGAGTGAAACTGTCTCAAAAAAAAAAAAAAAAAAAAAAAAAGAAAGAAAGAAAGAAAAGAATATCTCCACTTATGGGCAGCAGAAAACTGCTGAAGTGAGATAAATAGAGGAGTTAATATTCTAGAGAAGAAGCAAACCGTTGGTTGCAAAACAGCCTTTCTTCTATAGGTATTTACTTATATTAGGAACTAAGAAGAGGCTGGGATTCTAAGCTGGGGACAGAGAAATGAGGGGAGTTTTTGGAAGTTTCCTGGATCTACAATTAAATTGGAAATTGAGGGACATGGCTGATTTTCCCTAAAGACATTTGTTACATTCAAAATTTAGATTGAAAGTTAAATTGGAAGTTTAACAGAATGCTAAACCTCTAAGCTGAAAAGCCCTGGAAGACAAAAGAAAAGCTTTTTTGTTATATCTTGGTGTTGAACAGTGATTAAAGCTAAAGGCCACTGTGAGTGCACAAGGAGGCTCTCAGTCTAGAGCCCTAGAGGGTCATCTTCTAAAAACAGACAAATCAGAGACAAACTGAAACTAAACAAAACTGCAAATCAGCTGTGACTCAGTTCAGACTCTGAGTGGATTAAAGTGACTACAATCCTCTCTAATTGCTTACCAGAGAAATGGTGAATACTCTCTTGGGAAACATATTATCATTTGATCTTCTGTTAGTGCTATAGCTTGAATGTTTTTGTCCCGTCCCAAATTCATGTGTTGGAATCTTAGTCACCGACACAATAATGTTGGGAGGTGGGGCCTAATGGGTGGTGTTTAGGTCTTGAGAGCTCCAGTCCCATGAAGGAATTAATGCCACAGTAAAAAGGGCTTTCAGGCCGGGCACATTGACTCACACCTGTAATTCCAGGATTTTGGGAGGCCAAGGCGGGTGGATCACTTGAGGTCAAGAGTTCAAGACCAGTCTGGCCAACATGGTAAACCCTGTCTCCACTAAAAATACAAAAATTAGCCAGGTGTGGTGGAAAGTGCCTGTAGTCCCAGATACTCGGGAGGCTGAGTTAGGAGAATCGCTTGAACCTGAGAGGCGGAGGTTTCAGTGAGCTGAGATTGCACCACTGCATTCCAGCTTAGGCAACAGAGTGAGACTCCATCTCAAAAAAAAAAAAAAAAAAAAGGCTTTCAGGAGTGAGATTTTTTTCTCTTCCACTGTCCTGCCACATAAAGAAAAGTGTTCCTTCTGTCCAAAGGTGTCATCTTGGAAGCAGAGCCCAGGCCCTTACAGACAACAAATGATCTTAGAGTTCCCAGCTTCCACAACTGTGAGAAATAAATTTTTCTTCTATACAAATTCTCAGTCTCAGGTATTCCACTATAGCAGCACAAAACATGTGACATTCAATAAAAAATTCTCTATATATCAAGAAATAAGACCATGTGTTCCAGTCCTGTCTCCACTTTCCCCTACCCCCACCAGGACAAAAAAAAAGGCAAACAAACAAAAAACTGGCATTTGTTCTAGATATTAGAAAAGGCTGACAATGATTGTAAAATCATTAAGAATAAAATGCTAAAGAAAATGTTAAAAATAAAGAATTTCACTAGTGATTTACATGTCTATAAAATAATCAAATGGATATCAACCAAAGCTGTATGTGTATAGACCACATTTTCTTTGAATGGATGTATTTGTTCTTATAGGACTGTTGCTTCCTTAAGCAGTTCATTAGCTCCATGCTAGTATTTCCACCAATATATTCCCAGCACATGTCACAGTAATAAAACCTAGGTCCAAAATAAAGAAACTTTAAAAATAAACATGATGGAACATTAAAGAAGACATTTGTTCTGCAACGTTCAGGTGAATCATCAGATTCCAAATTCAAGAGGGTTAGAACATATGTCAGGAAAGATCCCATGGGAATGGGAAAGATCCGACAAAACCATGGAACATTGTGTTACATTTAGTTATTTAGCAAAGCAGATTTAGATATTAAATAGGAGAATTTCATCAGAGTATAGATGGGCGAAGATCTTCTTGGTGTGAGGAAATTAGCTACCTTATGTAATTCTAGGCATAAACACTGCTAAAGTATTCTCTGGTATGAACTCAGAATGCATGCATTAAGAAGTTATAATAAGAACATAGGTGTTTTTACAATAGTTGCTCGTAGGAGTTACTTCCATAAAGTGTCAAGAAATGTAAAGGGTGTGAGCTGAGATTGTACCTACTTACATGCTAGTCAGTTAGCCTGACACAGTGTTATAGATGCTGGAAGAAAACACAAGCCTCCTGAGTCAAAGACAAAGGATTTTTTACTTACATCACAGCAAGGAGCATAAGTTCTTCTTCAGATTTGTTTCCTTATACCTTAAGGTGAAGAGGAGTGATGTGGAGGCCCCAGGTGGTGTGCAGCACACAGTGGGTTTGTACCTCAACTAAGGAATCTTAAATTTAGGGAGCCTGGATCTTTGATAATAAATTGTAAGAAAACATGCCCAATCTCTGTATCAGAGAGTATCATTATCCTTATTAATACTATACATCAAATAAATACGTCTTTTCAACCTAAGGAAGACACTGTATCTTCCAAGGCTGATTGGTATACAAACACTGCAGAAGAGACAGTCTGGAAGAAAATAAAAAATTAATGCCTCTGCTCGCAAGACATGAAGAAATGCAAGAGTTTCATGAGAAATTGTGCCCTAGCATGAACATCCTGAGGAGAAGAATTGAAGATCTGAAGAAGTCCTGGTATTATTGCTCACAAAGGGAAACTGTTCCGTAGTCTTAAGGTATTTTACAATAGTTACAATTAAAGATGATTGATACCACTGCACTTCCTTGCTCACAATCCATTATCTACATATCAGCCAAAATATTCCTTTAGAAATCGTACTACATCACTCATGTTAAAAAGTTAGTTTCGCTATCTTCCATTGAAATTATGATTGATTTTTTAAAGAAACAAAAACTGAGATTGACTTCTCACAGCCTAAGAAATCAAGCTGGCTATAGATTGCCTCTCCAGACAACTCTAACTTTAATTTCCACTTTCAATACCTATGTTGACTTTATATGGAACTTTAGCCAGTTCCTTAAGCTCACTCTGCTACTCTTCCTCATATCTTAGGGCCTTTAGGCTTGCTAAACTTCTTGCCTATAAATTTTAGCCATTCCCTCTTTTCTTGTTAAGCTTCATTCATCATTCAGTTGTCAAGTTACGTATCTCCATCTTTAGGAACTAGTCCTAATTCCCCATTCCAGGACAGACACATCTCTTATATGCTGGTTGAGCAGCATGTTTATTCTTTGCTCCATTTCAGTGTGTGCAAGATGTCTTTGAGAACAAGAAATAGCCTGACCACACCTGTGATGAGATCATCACTTGCCACAGAAACCTACAGGAATAGTGTTTACATGCACGTTGGTTGAATGAATACATGAGCTCCAATTTTGTGCCTGGAAACATGCTAAACTTGTTTTAGTGAACTCTGTCCCTCATGTAGAAATTAAAAGAAAACATTACCACTTAGATTTGAAACACATTATTATGCCACATTTGTTTCTGATCTCTTTTTAAGATATAAGACATTACAGTTACAGTCTTTGCTTTCTATCTGATCCCACTTCTTTTCTACCTAACTACAGATTCTTTCCCAACTATAGATTTCAATTGTACTAAATATTTATACAATTTTATGTAGTTCCTAGTTGTTCAATAGCTATAATTGCATATATGTGCTATATATACATATGTGTGCATACATATAATTAAAATTAAAATTTCTGAACATATATATAGCTACATATATATCATTAAATTTCTACATATCTCTATGTGGATCTATATAGTTCTCTATATATGTCAAAACTATAATTTTATTTTGACATGAATTTTCTAATTTTTTATACATATTTCTTTTACTGTTGCCTCATTTTGTCTAACCAATTTTTTTATCTTTTTTGTAAATATGTTATTAATTTATTTCTGTATTTTGAAGTAACAAAAGCATTTTTGTCATAATTTATGCATTTTTCATTAGTCAGAGCAAATTCATTTTTCTGATTTCTTTCTCAATTCATTCACTATCTTTTAAATTTTTGGTTCTCAGGCTTATCATGAACAACAACATGCATCTCTTTCTCTCTCTCTTTTTTTGAAAAATCTGTTTCTGTGCCCTTGCTTTTTGTCATATAGCAATTTGGGAGATGTCACTAAACCAATAGCTTTCTGATCACTCATCCTGGTTTCGGGGCTATGTCTGATTTCTGTTGTTTCTCTCAATACAGACTTTCATGTGAGAAGTAGGCACAGAAAGTAATAATTTTTTTCTAGATTTATTTCTTTATATTCTGGGGGCTTGTAAATGTCAGTTAACTTACATAGGCACAGAAAATGATAAATTTTCTTCTAGCTTTTTTTTTTTAATGTTCTGTGGGCATGTAAATGTCACTTAACTTACATAATACAAAGCCCAAGCACACAAGACCCTGCAGTCCAGCATTTTCTGACCCTTATTCCACTGTATTTTCATTTTAATTGATCTCCAGAGTACATGAATAAATATATGTATGTAAGCATGTGCATATGCATGTATGTATACAGTTTGGTAGGGCTATTTTATTTTTAATTTCATCTTTATACAGTATTATCTATAATTGCTTTGTCTATGGAGGCAAGACCATTTGATTCTAATATATTTATATATGGTATTATTAAATCTACCAAGGGTACTAAGCCAGTGATTGTAATCATGGAAAATGGATTTAAGAACTGAGGCTCAGGAGGTTTAGGGGCTGAATTTATGGAGGACAACCAAGACTGTTAACTCAAGTACATGTTTTCAGCTATGTGTCAATATTTCCATCCAAAAGAATTGCTGCTTTTTTCTATCCAAGATAAATTATTTCTGTGTTATTTATAATTTCAATACTCAAAAATTGTAAAAATATTCTAACAAAAATTTTAAACATCTTTAGCACTATGCAACCATCCACAGACTTCTCACACTCAAGCTACTGTAGCTGATGTAAACTTCATTTGCATAGTTAAATGTTAAAAAATGTACACACAAACTCTTTTAAAAGCATGTACATATTTTTTAGGGGAAAACCTATATATGAGTTCTGACACTAGTAATGTTGTCAAATCATTTAATTAAGACATTTCAAATATAATGGGTAATTAGCGGCCAGTCACGGTAGCTCACACCTGTAATCCCAGAGCTTTGGGAGGCTGAGGCAGGCAGATCACCTGAGGTCAGGAGTTTGAGACCAACCTGGCCAACATGATGAAACCCTGTCTCTACTAAAAAATACAAAAAAATTGCCAGGCGTGGTGGTGGGCGCCTGTAATCCCAGCTGCTTGGGAAGCCAAGGAAGGAGAATCGCTTGGACCCAGGAGCTGGAGGTTGCAGTGAGCAGAGATCACGCCATTACAATTCAGCCTGGGCAACAAGAGGGAAACTCTATCTCAATATATACAAATATATATAATTACATTTACATATATATAAAAATATATATAATTACAATTACATATATAAACATATATATAATTACATATATAATTACAATTATATATATATAATTTTAATTTAATTCACAAATTCCAGCTATAACAATCTTTTATGAAGAACTTCTCATTAAGAATGTGGGATTTGGCCAGGGGCAGAGGCTTATTCCTGTATTCCCAGCACTTTGGGAGGCCGAGGCGGGTAGATCACCTGAGGTCAGGAGTTCGAGATCAGCCTGGCCAACATGGTGAAACCCTGTCTCTACTGAAAAAAACAAACAAACAAGCAAACAAAAAACTAGCCAGGCATGGTACGAGAGCAAACCTCCCTCTTAAAAAAGAAAAAAAAAAAAAAAAGAATGTGGGATTCAATAATAGCAAAATTATTCTGTTTTTTCTAAAATACATTCAGAGTTATACCTATGTAGGTTAAACTGCTTGAATTGAACACATCTTCAAATCGAAGTCAAATTTTCATTGTAATGTTATCAAATTTAAATTATTTTAAAATATAAATTTTTATTGGAATAGAAAAAAATGCAACTGAAACATAAGTACATGGATCAACATATGATTCCAATCTCCTAAGGAAGCAAGTTAAATAACCTCTGCCAAATTTTACAATTCTTTGAAATATGGAAAAATATGATTTTTTCACAAGTTTCACATAGTTAATCATACTAAGTATATTTGAATTATAAGACAGCCTGTTCTAATGTAAGTAAATGTACAATAGTCAGTTAAATGCAATTTGTCATACACAAACATGCACAAATATTGATTCCCATAAGCAGAGCTGACATAGGGCCACTTAAAATGTGAGAGACAATTAAGCTTTAAATGTTCATATAGATCTTTTGGCTTTGTGCGCATTTTGATACTTTGTTATATTTAAAGATGTTCAGGGAAAATGGGAAAAATGCTTTTGGCAGGTTGTCATTTAGTGACTTGCATTTGAAAATCTTCTCCCGGAAGTGAAGAGAAAGGGAATTCAATGTTTACTTCAAAATGTATGTGCCACTGTTTTCTGCATGTGATTCTGAGGCAAGTGTTAAATTCCAAATAGCAGCATATTCAGATAAACATAATCAAATATATAGTTTGGACAAAGAAAAAGTTGATCCTAATCAGAAAACTGCACATACCATATGGCTTAATGTTTCCCTAATGTATGAAGAATGACTTATATGGAACCTTGAGAAATGTACCAAAGAGGACATCTAAATAATGAAGAAACTTCCGTAGTTACTAAATTATGGGATTATTTTTAACCACACTATACAGAAGGCTAAATGAAAATGATTCAAAAATTTCCAAAATATGCTGCATACTTCTGTGTATCCTTCTACCCATATTTTGGACAATGCTTATAATAACAAGAGGAAATATAATTTGTAAAGCACATCTTGATAGCCTTGCTCATACAAGATGATTGCAAGCATTGCATTTCCTTTAGTAACTGTCTCTAGGATATATTTTTCATTTTTTCCTAATTTGAATATTTTCTACCTCCAAGCAGTGGCAGCAGCTCTCATAAACAAGTTTGTCAGCTAAGATTTCTCTTAAAATTTGCCCAAGAGCATATTACATGTACATTTCTTGTTTAAAGAGATGCTTCTGAATAAATTCAATGAAAGTTATTTGTACATATGGCTCAATTTTAAACACAAGCTATTCACAGATCATAACACAGTAGCATCAAACTGACTTTGAATGCTGATTTGCAAGATGTTTGTGTGTATATAAGAATAAAGCCTATTACATATAAGGTCAAAGCAGATACCACATAGATAAACAAATATGTGTATATATGTTCACCTTCATTGTCCTTCAGAGTGAAGTTTGGATTTACAGGCAGGCGTTCATCAAGAAAGAAGTTAAACCTTGGTCCATTGGCAAAATCATCTTTATCAGTGGCACTGATGGTATGAATAACCTAAAGAAAAGACAAACTCTAAATCGTAAATTTAATTTTGCTTGTTCTCTTGATTTTAATTACACTGTATTATTTCTGTTTAAAAATATTTTTAAAGGATCTTTTCTTCCAACTTGAGTTATTTTTCAAATTCAGGTCATAAAACAATCAACTAAATTGCTGTATCCTGCATTAGATTTTAGGAAAAACACAGTATATAATTTCTAAACATTCATCACACTTTATTTTCTAGCATTGCAAACGCATTGATTTTTTTTTTCTTAATCAGCCATGGTACTGTGGGGTCAATTAGATGCAATGTTTTCACATGAATACCTGTTGGAGGAGACATAAAGTATTGTTTGCATAAATATAAATATCCCAGTGTTGATTCAGAATAGCTTATCACTGTATGTTGGTCTAAGTAGTAAATGCAAGAACAGTGGAGTCTTGGTTTTATTATTTTTTTCAGGAGGCCTTCAAGATCATGATCTAGTCCCTGTATGTTACAGACGAGGAGCCTGAATCCTGGAAGGATGGTGAGGTGCCCCAAATGTCTAAAATAATGGCAGAGGCTAAACAAGACCTTCCGTGATTTATGAATAACTTCTCCTCTCTAGTGCTCAGGAGAAAGCAATTCTTTAGAATCTGGACTTAATGTACACTAAAAAGCAGAGTAAGTTAGAATTTATGGTGGCCCAAGAGAAGAACGTGCATTTCAATAGGTATGGCCAGTCTGCTCTTAAAAAATAAATATCAAAATAAACAGACAAAAAGATATTTTCCTCTTTTGAAAATTATCATAATGCTTAGGTGTCTTCATTCAACCCTTTCCTTAGAAAAACGAGAAACAAAGAGAGAGAAGATAGAGCTGTGAAAATAATATTTCCTGTTTCTGAAATACATTGAACTAATATCATTTCTTAGAACATTATAACTAATTTCAACCAGTTCAATATTTTCCAAAGAAGGTAATTCACCAAAGGATATCACAGTTAAAACTTAAATTTCTCTGCGTGTTCTGAGCCCATTAGTTTGTCAGAAAGATGAGGAGGAAAATAAAAGTACTGAGAAGTGGGGGTGAGTGACAGTAACACCAGAAAAGCATGTGTTTTCATGAAGTGACAGTGAAGAAAGTACTTCAGGATACAGAAGAGATCAACTTCCTCATTATGTTTACTGGGCTCACTCTTTCACCGCCTTTCCATCACTGCTCAAAAGATACATGTTTAGCAAGATCCTATGTGCTCCTTACCCCTGCCTCCATCTCCAAATAAGTCTCTATCCTTCTTGATTTCCCTCCATATTTATTTATAAGCTGAAAATCTTTTTTTTTTATTTGAATACAACTAGTCTCTGGGTAGATTGTTTTTCCCCTTGTTTTCACTTAGAGTAGGGGAATACATTGATGGATAATCAGATATATTGTAAAAATTCCAGTGCTGCCTCATCTGAGGAACATATATACATTAGCTAGACATTAGTTACTTAATACAAAATTGAAATAAAATGTCAATATTTTAAGTTTTTTAAGGGTTAAATAAATATTTAAGCAGGCATTGCATAGTCCCTCACTTCCTCCAACACATACAAATATATAATGTTACCTCTTTTTTCCCCTTCTTTATAAAACAAATGTTCTCTCACCTTGCTCTTGAATTTTAGTGATTCTCCAGTGTGTGACCCTATTTTCTCCATCATACCTCATAACATAGTGATACATTTGCAAGTTTACTTTTTATCCAAGAATCGAATTTCGGAGTGATTGGTGAAGAATATTTCATTTGAGTTAACTGAGCCAGTTTATGGTTTCTGTTATCACTGCTGTGGGATTATTATTTTCTTTACTATACATTTCAGTTAGTATACAAATTATTTTAATTATTTCTTAATATTTTTACAAATATGAGCTTATTATACCTGTTAAACTCTGATATAATTCCTATTCTATTGTGTTTGTAAGGCATCTTTTTCACTTTTTTACAGATAATTTCAAATGCGAATTAAACAGAAAGCTCACATATGACAATCGTGTTTTTTTAAGAGAGAAACTCCTTGTGATTTTTGCACATTGATTTTGTATCCTGAGACTTTGCTGAAGTTGCCTATCAGCTTAAGGAGATTTTGGGCTGAGACGATGGGGTTTTCTAGATATACAATTATGTCATCTGAAAACAGGGACAATTTGACTTCCTCTTTTCCTAATTGAATACCCTTTATTTCCTTCTCCTGCCTGATTGCCCTGGCCAGAACTTCCAACACTATGTTGAATAGGAGTGGTGAGAAAGGGCATCCCTGTCTTGTGCCAGTTTTCAAAGGGAATGCTTCCAGTTTTTGCCCATTCAGTATGAGATTGGCTGTGGGTTTGTCATAGATAGCTCTTATTATTTTGAGATACATCCCATCAATACCTAATTTATTGAGAGTTTTTAGCATGAAGCATTGTTGAATTTTGTAAAAGTCCTTTTCAGCATCTATTGATATAATCATGTGGTTTTTGTTGTTGGTTCTGTTTATATGCTGGATTAGCTTTATTGATTTGCATATGTTGAACCAGCCTTGCATCCCAGGGATGAAGCTCACTTGATCATGGTGGATAAGCTTTTTGATGTGCTGCTGGATTCGGTTTGCCAGTATTTTATTGAGGATTTTTGTATCGATGTTCATCAGGGATATTGGTCTAAAATTCTCTTTTTTTGTTGTGTCTCTGCCAGGCTTTGGTATCAGGATGATGCTGGCCTCATAAAATGAGTTAGGGAGGATTCCCTATTTTTCTATTGATTGGAATAGTTTCAGAAGGAATGGTACCAGCTCCTCTTTGTACCTCTGGTAGAATTTGGCTGTGAATCCATCTAGTCCTGGACTTTTTTTGGTTTGTAGGCTATTAATTATTGCCTCAATTCCAGAGCCTGTTATTGGTCTATTCAGAGATTCAACTTCTTCCTGGTTTAGTCTTGGGAGGGTGTATGTGTCAAGGAATTTATCCATTTCAAATCAATGTGGAAAAATCACAAGTATTCTTATACACACATAACAGAGAGCCAAATCATGAGTGAACTCCCATTCACAATTGCTTCAAAGAGAATAAAATACCTAGGAATCCAACTTACAAGGGACATGAAAGACGTCTTAAAGGAGAACTACAAACCACTGCTCAATGAAATAAAATAGGATACAAACAAATGGAAGAACATTCCATGCTCATGGGTAGGAAGAATCAATATTGTGAAAATGGCCATACTGCCCAAGGTAATTTATAGATTCAATGCCATCCCCATCAAGCTACCAATGACTTTCTTCACAGAATTGGAAAAAACTACTTTAAAGTTCATATGGAACCAAAAAAGAGTCCACGTTTCCAAGTCAATCCTAAGCCAAAAGAACAAAGCTGGAGGCATCATGCTACCTGACTTCAAACTATACTACAAGGCTACAGTAACCAAAACAGCATGGTACTGGTACCAAAACAGAGATATAGACCAATAGAACAGAACAGAGCCCTCAGAAATAATGCTGCATATCTACATCTGATCTTTAACAAGCCTGGCAAAAACAAGAAATGGGGAAAGGAATCCCTGTTTAATAAATGCTGCTGGGAAACTGGCTAGCTATATGTAGAAAGCTGAAACTGGATCCCTTCCTTACACCTTATACAAAAATTAATTCAAGATGGATTAAAGACTTAAATGTTTGACCTAAAACCATAAAAACCCTAGAAGAAAACCTAGGCATTACCATTCAGGACATAGGCATGGGCAAGGACTTCCTGTCTAAAACACCAAAAGCAATGGCAACAAAAGCCAAAATTGACAAATGGGATCTAATTAAACTAAAGAGCTTCTGCACAGTGAAAGAAACTACCATCAGAGTGAACAGGCAACCTACAGAATGGGAGAAAATTTTTGCAATCTCCTCATCTGTCAAAGGGCTAATATCCAGAATCTACAATGAACTCAAACAAATTTACAAGAAAAAAGCAAACAACCCCATCAAAAAGTGGGCAAAGGATATGAACAGACACTTCTCAAAAGAAGACATTTATGCAGCCAAAAGACACATGAAAAAATGCTTATCATCATTGGCCATCAGAGAAATGCAAATCAAAACCACAATGAGATACCATCTCACCCCAGTTAGAATGGTGATCATTAAAAAGTCAGGAAACAACAGGTGCTGGAGAGGATGTGGAGAAATAGGAACACTTTTACACTGTTGATGGGAATGTAAACTAGTTCAACCCTTGTGGAAGTCAGTGTGGCAATTCCTCAGGGATCCAGAACTAGAAATGCCATTTGACCCAGCCATCCCATTACTGGGTATATACCCAAAGGATTATAAATCATGCTGCTATAAAGACACATGCACACGTATGTTTATTGCGGCACTATTCACAATAGCAAAGACTTGGAACCAACCCAAATGTCCAACAATGATAGACTGGATTAAGAAAATGTGGCATGTATACACCATGAAATACTATGCAGCCATAAAAAATGATGAGTTCATGTCCTTTGTAGGGACATGGATGAAGCTGGAAACCGTCATTCTGAGCAAACTATCGCAAGGACAAAAAACCAAACACCACATGTTCTCACTCATAGGTTGGAATTGAACAATGAGAACACATGGACACAGGAAGGGGAACTTCACACACTGGGGCCTGTTGTGGGTTGGGAGGAGGGGCGAGGGATAACATTAGGAGATATATCTAATGTTAAATGACGAGTTAATAGGTGCAGCCCACCAACATGGCACATGTATACATATGTAACCAACCTGCACGTTGTGCACATGTACCCTAGAACTTAAAGTATAATTTAAAAAAAAGAAGAGAGAAACTCCTAGTCTCTACATAAAAAATGAGGATTTGATTATCATGTCTTGTTTAACAATGTCCCAATCATCTTGAACTCTTACAGAGTTGTTGATAATGTATGTAAGCTTCAATTTTTATTAATCGTATTTCTGAAAAAAAAAAAAGCTTCCAAAAACGAGAATGTCAGTCTGACTTTGTCCAAAATGCTGTAATATTTGCTTGGTCTCTGCTCTGTATTGGCATATTCAATATTTCTGTTTTACAAATCACCTTGTCTCTTTCATCATGTAATAGAATTTGCATTCATTGTTACCTTAGACTTTCTTTAGAAAATATACCTGGGAACTTAACATGTTTATGGTTTTTAGAAGTTATAAACTTCTGGCAGATATCTAGATAATTGCCAGGTTTCCATCATCAAATTTTCTATCCCTTTGTCAGAATTCTGATTTATATCCACTGTGTTACCTTGCTATTTCTTTGTCCAATTGCTTTAGTAATATAAAATCCCTAAGAATATCTTTTTTGATTCATGTGTCTTCTAATTGAACCCAAATGTTATTTATCACATATACATGATCTAATTAATACATAGAATGGTTATTTATTTTTAAAGATATCAAATAAATGATATTACAAATTTAGTCTACATTACAAAAGCAAAGGGTGAAAAAAAATAGACAGTTGCTATTTATAAATAATTACCAGGGAGTATTTTTGATATCTACAAATAGATGTATCCACTTTTAAAAATATACTTTCAATTGTCTGTTAATTGAGACAGACTGTTACTGTTAATTAGAGTTACTGTTACTGTTACTGTTAATTAGAGTACTTTATTAGGGAAAAGTCAGTATCACAAATATATAAAATTTGTCTAATCTAATACCATAATGTTAGTTTTGGCAAATGAACTTGCTTGGCTTAAGCATTTTAAAAAGGAAGTTCTTTCTTTCTTTTCTTTTTTTTTTTTTTTTTGTGGCAGAGACTCACTCTGTAACCAAGGCTGGAGTGCCAGAGGCACGATCTCTCAATCTCAGCTCACTGTAACCTTCACCTCCTGGGTTCAAGTGATTCTCGTGTCTCAGCCACCGAGTAGTTGGGATTACAGGTGTAAGCCACCATGCCTAATTTTTGTATTTTTGGTAGAAATGGGTTTTTGCTATGTTGGCCAGGCTGGTCTAGAACCCCTGGCCTCAAGTGATCTGCCCTCCTTGGCCTCCCAAAATACTGGGATTACAGGTGTGAATCACTGCGCCTGGCCAAGAATGTTCTTAACTCAGAAATAGAAAACCAAATACCACGCGTTCTCACTTATAAATGGAAGCTAAACAATGGGGACAAAGGAACATAAAGATGAAAATAATAGACAACAGGGACTCCAAAAGGGCAGAGAGTGGGAAGGGGCAAGGGTTGAAAAATAACCTGTTGGGCACAATGTTCACTATTTGAGTAATGCATACACTACAGGCCCAATCCCCACCAGTATACAACATACCCATGTAAAAAAATGCCCATGTAACCTCTCGATCTAAAATAATTTTTTCTAAAATACATAGTGTCCTGTTTAGTCAATGCATCTGCTTCATAATATAATCGTTAATAGTATCTGCATACATTTATTTGATAACATCAACTTTTGTTATTTAAATGAGCTTGATTTTTGACAGTAAAGAATCTCTATTGACCTAGTTAATTTTTTCATGCAAAGCTATATGGTTAATAATTGTATGTGGTGGAAGCAGAGAATGTTATGTAATAAAATTTCTTTTATGTGTTATTTTTGTACATTTATTTCTAATGAAAGAAAGAATACAGAGGAAGTTTAATATGCATAAAATAGAATAGACTCTCTTTATTTTTTCAATGTTTCCACTTTAGGCATATCTAAATTTTTCTTAAATCATTCTACTTTGGGAACTGTCTTCAAATTTCATGCATGCATGCCTTTCTTTTTAATATTTTTCTCAGGCAACATACTAAAAGATTTTTTTTTTCAGAACAGGAAAATATATTAACTTAGAGAACTATATTGTTGCAGTTTACATTAGTATCTCTATTTACCTGAACTCTGCTGTTATACGGGGCTTAAACTTTCATAAAAAGCCAATCTCTTTGACATAGCTACATGCTGATACGTTTAGATGTGCAGCATTCATAATAGAAATATCCGTAATTTGAAAAGCAATTGTCATTGAAAGAGGAACAGTCACACAGCCTGGCAATACAAATACACTTCAGAAAACTGATTTCGCCAATTGTTGTTTAAATAGAGTTTCTTATTCCAACTCTGCATCAGGATGCATCGGATTTCTTCAAAAGTGTTTTCAAGATATGGTTAAAAGAGTCAAACACTATGAAACTAAAGAATACAGATTCGGGCCATTTCACTCTGTAATGGGTTAATCTCACAAGCAGAGCACATACACTGGTAATGATTTGTCTAAATGTGGATGCCACAAGCTACACTTACAAACAATCTTTTCTCCCATCAATTAAAGCTTAAAGTTATTTTGGTGGAAGAGGTGAAAACAAATACACAAGCAACAGCATAATAAGTTCAATTATCTTATAATCACATCTAAAACTATTCAATGTTAAAGGCAACAATGGTAGCTAAATGTATAGTGTTTTAAAGTGCAAAAAGGAGTAACCACATAATCAACTTACAAAACTTAATCAAAATATTAGAAGGGTAGTAATGTCAAATGCTAAGTGTAGTAATTACCTTTTTGATATGGTTAGGTTTTGTGTCCCCACTAAAATCATATTGAATTATAATCCCCATAATCCCCACATTATAATCCCACATAACCCCTACCTGGAGAGACCAGGTGGAGGTAATTGGATCATGAGGGTGGCTTTCCCCTATGCTGTTCTCCTGTTAGTGAGTTCTCAGGAGATCTGATTTTTTTTTTTTTTCTGAGACCAAGTTTTGCTCTTGTTGCCTAGGCTGGAGTGCAGTGGTGCAATTTCAGCTCACTACAACTTACGCCTCCTGGGTTCAAGCGATTCTCCTGCCTCAGCCTCCCGAGTAGCTGGGATTACAAGCACCTGCCACCATGCCTAGCTAATTTTTTGTATTTTGAAAGAGATGGGGTTTTGCCATGTTGGGCAGGCTGGTCTTGAACTCCTGACCTCAGATGATCTGCCTGCCTTAGCCTCCCAAAGTACTGGGATTACAGGCATGAGCCAATGCACCCAGCCGATCTGATGGTTTTATAAGCAGCTCATCCCCCATCTCTCAGCACTTCTCTTTCATGCAGGCTTCTGAAGAAGGTGCCTTGCTTCCCCTTGGCTTTCCCCCGTGATTGTAAGTTTCCTGAGGCTTCCCTAGCCATGCTGAACTGTGAGTCAATTAAACCTCTTTCCTTTATACATTACCATGTCTCAAGCAGTTCTTAATAGTATGAAAACAGACTAATACAGTAAATTGGTACCACGGAGAGTGGGACACTGATACAAAGATACCAAAAAATGTGAAATTGACTTTGGAACTGGGTAAGAGGCAGAGGTTGGAACAGTTTGGAGGGCTTAGAAGACAGGAAGACGTGGGAAGGTTTGGAACTTTCTAGAGACTCGTTGAATGGCTTTGACGAAAATGCAGATAGTGATATCTAAAATGAAGTCCAGGCTGAGGACGGAGATGAGGAACCTGTTGCAAACCAGAATAAAAGTGACTCTTGCTATGCTTTAGCAAAGAGACTGGTGGCATTTTGCCCCTGCTCTAGGGATCTGTGAAACTTTGAACTTGAGAGAGATGATTTAGGGTATCTAGTGGAAGAAATTTTTAATAGCAAAGAGCACCCTGGTGCTCTTAAAATCATTCAGTTTTATGCATTTCAAAGGGATGGTTTGAATTTGGAACTTAGGTTTTAAAGGGAAGCAGAGCATAAAAGTTTGGAAAATTTGAAGCCTGACAATGAAATAAAAAAGACAAAACCATTTTCTGAGGAGAAATTCAAGTTGTGTAAGTATCGAGGAGCCAAATGTTAATCACCAAGACAATGGAGAAAATGTCTCCAGGGTATGTCAGAGGTGTCCTCGGCAGCCCCTCCCATCACCAACCTAGAGGCCTAGGAGGAAAAACTGTTTTTGTGGGCCAGCCCAGGACCATGCTGCTTTGTGCAGGACTTGGTGCCCTGCATCCAAGTCATAGCTAAAAGGGGCCAATACACAGCTCAGCCCATTGCTTCAGAGAAAATAAGTATCAATTAAGCCAAGAGCAAGGGCTGGGTGTTATTGGCCTAGATTTGCAGCAGACTACATAGGTAGCATGGGACTAGCAACCATTGTTGTGCCATATTATGAGAATATACTTTAACCTTAAAGCTTTGAAATGATCTTGAAATTTAAAAATACAATCTATATGCTTATTTAAATGAATTTTTAAAATTATAATTAGTCCGAAAACAATGTCTGATGCAAACATAAGCCCATGCTTGGTTCTTTAAATCATATTTCAAATGATATTTTTAATTTACCAATTTTTAGATCTCTGAGTAATCTAAAAATCATGGAAATAAAGATCCACTGAGGCAAAGGACCTAAGTTTTAAGAGTTGCCCTCTAGAGAGACAGTAGTTGAGTGCTAACAAGGGTAACATTTACTCTTAGGTGTCTTATTTTCAATGTAATGGCAAATGGTCTAGTGTTTCAACTTAATTTTCTAATTGTTTGTGGTATGAGAACTCTAAATAACATGTTTATATTGACCTGATATTTAGCAAATTTGTTAATGTCATTCAAAAATTCTACCTGCGTATAGCAGCATTGTCACGGTTGTTGCTATTATTAATGGGTGTTGAATTTTCACAAATGCTTTGGATTCTCCTGATTAGGTAGGTTTTTATTTTTCATCGTCTCTTTTTAAAATACTATCCTTTTTTGCTTTATATGGTTTACAAATATTTTAATTATGACATTTATTATATCTATGATCGTGCAGAGAATAGCTATAATTCCACTTATACCTTTTGATGTTAAAGTTATGCTGGCATCATAAAATGTGTACAAAAATGATCCTGCCACCCTTTTTCTGAACTCTTGAATACCTTTTACAATTACTGTCATGATTTTTCTTAAATTTTTAGTAGAATTCACCATTAAAGCCATGAGAAGAGAATTTATTTGTGGAAAGGTTTTTATTTATATATTTAATGAATTTAATAAATACAACTTTAATCAGTCCTTATTTATTTATTTATATTTATTTATTTTCTGAGACAAGGTCTCACTTTGTTACCCAGGCTGGAGTGCAGTGGCAGGATCACAGCTCACTACAGACTTGACCTCCAGGGCTCAAGGGATCCTCCCACTTAAGACTCCCAAGTAGCTGGGATTATAGGCATGAGCCACCAAGCCCAGCTAAATCTATTCTTGTGTCAGCTTTGACAAACTTTACTTTTCTAAAAATATATGCATTATGTCTAAACTTTCAAATTTTAGTAAAAGACGACATTGTAATATACAATTGGCTTCTGATATCTGTAAAGTCTATAGTTACAAGAGGCGGTAAGCCTCTTGATTTTTTCCTAATATTCTTCATTTGTTCTATTTCTCTCTTTTGTTTTTAACAATTTACCAGGGACTTATCTGTCTTTTCAAATAACTAAGCTGTGAACTCTTCAATGTTTTCTTTTGGTTCATTTCCATGTCATTAAATTCATCTCATAAATTGTTATTCTATTTTATTTGGATTAAATTGATTTATTTTTCTAACTTCTTAAGAATAATGCTTAGGCTTTTAATTTGCATTATTTTATCTTCTTTATTATATGCATTTAAAATTATAAATTTCCTGTTAGTTATGGCTGAACTGTTTCCTAGAAATTTTTATATGGACTTATTTACATTATCATTTCATGGAACTTGTTTTTTCATTTAAGTTTGTTCTTCTTCATGGAATATTAAGTTACTTAGAAGTGCATTCCTTTATTTGCAATATGATTTTTTTTTTATACTTTAAGTTCTAGGGTACATGTGCACAACATGCAGGTTTGTTACATATGTATACCTGTGCCATGTTGGCTTGCTGCACCCATTAATTCGTCATTTACATTAGATATTTCTCTTAATGCTATCCCTCCCCCATTCTCCCACCCCATGACAGGCCCCAGCGTGTGATGTTCCCCACCCTGTGTCCAAGTGTTTTCATTGTCCAATTCCCACCTATGAGTGAGAACATGCAGTATTTGGTTTTCTGTCCTTGTGATAGTTTGCTCAGAATGATGGTTTCCAGCTTTATCCACGTCCCTACAAAGGACGGGAACTCATCGTTTTTATGGCTGCATAGTATTCCATGGTGTATATGTGCCACATTTTCTTAATCCAGTCTATCATTGATGGACATTTGGGTTGGTTCCAAGTCTTTGCTATTGTGAATAGTGCTGCAATGAACATACATTTGCATGTGTCTTTATAGTAGCATGGTGTATAATCCTTTGGGTATATACCCAGTAATGGGACCACTGGGTCAAATGGTATTTCTATTTCTAGATCCTTGAGGAATCTCCACACCGTCTTCCACAATGGTTGAACTAGTTTACATTCCCATCAACAGTGTAAAAGTGTTCCTATTTCTCCACATCCTCTCCAGCACCTGTTGTTTCCTGACTTTTTAGTGATCGCCATTCTAACTGGTGTGAGATGGTATCTCATTGCTGTTTTGATTTGCATTTCTCTGATGACCAGTGATGATGAGCATTTTTTCATGCGTCTGTTGGCTGCATAAATGTCTTCTTTTGAAAAGTGTTTGTTCTTATCCTTTGCCCACTTTTTGATGGGGTTGTTTGATTTTTTCTTGTACATTTGTTTAAGTTATTTGTAGATTCTGGATATTAGCCCTTTGTCAGATGAGTAGATTGCAAAAATTTTCACCCATTCTGTAGGTTGCCTGTTCACTCTGATGGTAGTTTCTTTTGCTGTGCTGAAGGTTTTTAGTTTAATTAGATCTCATTTGTCTATTTTGGCTTTTGTTGCCATTGCTTTTGGTGTTTTAGTCATGAAGTCCTTGCCCATGCCTATGTCCTGAATGGAATTGCCTAGGTTTTCTTCTAGGGTTTTTATGGTTTTAGGTCTAACATTTAAGTCTTTAATCCATCTCGAATTAATATCTGTATAAGGTGTAAGGAAGGGATCCAGTTTCAGCTTTCTACATATGGCTAGCCAGTTTTCCCAGCACCATTTATTAAACAGGGAATCATTTCCCCATTTATTGTTTTGTCAAGTTTGTCAAAAATCAGTTGGTTGTAGATGTTTGGTGTTATTTCTGAGGGCTCTGTTCTGTTCCATTGGTCTATATCTCTGTTTTGGTACCAGTACCATGCTGTTTTGGTTACTGTAGCCTTGTAGTATAGTTTGAAGTCAGGTAGCGTGATGCCTCCAGCTTTGTTCTTTTTGCTTAGGATTGTCTTGGCAATGTGGGTTCTTTTTTGGTTCCATATGAAATTTAAAGTAGTTTTTTTCCAATTCTGTGAAGAAAGTCATTGGTAGCTTGATGGGGATGGCATTGAATCTATAAATTACCTTGGGCAGTATGGCCATTTTCATGATATTGATTCTTCCTATCCATGAGCATGGAATGTTCTTCTATTTGTTTGTATCCTCTTTGTTTCATTAAGCAGTGGTTGGTTTGCAGTTCTCCTTGAAGAGGTCCTTCACATCCCTTTTAAGTTGTATTCCTAGGTATTTTATTCTCTTTGTAGCAATTGTGAATGGGAGTTCACTCATGATTTGGCCTTTTGTTTGTCTGTTACTGGTGTATAGGAATGCTTGTCATTTTTGCACATTGATTTTGTATCCTGAGACTTGGCTGAAGTTTCTTATCAGCTTAAGAAGATTTTGGGCTGAGACAATGGGGTTTTCTAAATATACAATCATGTCATCTGCAAACAGGGACAATTTCACTTCCTCTCTTCCTAATTAAATACTCTATTTCTTTCTCTTGCCTGATTGCCCTGGCCAGAACTTCCAACACTATGTTGAATAGGAGTGGTGAGAGAGGGCATCCCTGTCTTGTGCCAGTTTTCAAAGGGAATACTTCTAGTTTTTGCCCATTCAGTATGATATTGGCTGTGGGTTTGTCATACAAAGCTCTTATTATTTTGAGATACATTCCATCAATACCTAGTTTATTGAGAGTTTTTTAGCATGAAGGGCTGTTGAATTTTGTCAAAGGCCTTTCTGCATCTATCGAGATAATTATGTGGTTTTTGTCTTTGGATATGTTTATGTGATGGATTACATTTATTGATTTGCGTAGGTTGAACCAGCCTTGCATCCCAGGGATGAAGCTAACTTGATCTTGGTGGATAAGCTTTTTGATATGCTGCTGGATTTGGTTTGCCAGTATTTTATTGAGGATTTTCACATTGATATTCATCAGGGATATTGGTCTAAAATTCTCTATTTTTGTTGTGTCTCTGCCAGGCTTTGGTATCAGGATGATGCTGGCCTCATAAAATGAGTTTGGGAGGATTCCCTCTTTTTCTATTGATTGGAATAGTTTCAGAAGGAATGGTACCAGCTCCTCTTTGTACCTCTGGTAGAATTTGGCTGTGAATAAGTCTGGTCCTAGACTTTTTTTGGTTGGTAGGCTATTAATTATTGCCTCAATTTCAGAGGCTGTTATTGGTCTATTCAGCGATTCAACATCTTCCTGGTTTAGTCTTGGTAGGGTATATTGTCCAGGACTGTATCCATTTCTTCTAGATTTTCTAGTTTATTTGCAAAGAGGTGTTTATAGTATTCTCTGATGGTAGTTTGTATTTCTGTGGGATCGGTAGTGATATCCCCTTTATCATTTTTTATTGTGTCTATTTGATTCTTCTCTCTTTTCTTCCTTATTAGTCTTGCTAGTGGTCTCTCAATTTTGTTGATCTTTTCAAAAAAAACAAGCTCCTGGATTCATTGATTTTTTGAAGGTTTTTTGTGTCTCTATCTATGAATTCACCACAATTTGCTTAACCATTCACCTATTGAAGGATGTCTTTGTTGGTTCCAGTCTGGGTTTTTTATAAATAAAACTGCTATAAATAATTGTGCACATTTTGTTGTATAAACATAAAATTTCATATCTCTGTGGGAAATGCCCAAAAATGCAGTTCTGAATTTTATGGTAGCTGCATATTTAATTTTTTATGAAACTGTCAAAATATGTTTCCCAGTAGCAGTACCATTTTACACTTTCACCAATGATGTAGAAATGACCTAATTTCTCCACAATTTACCAAAAAGTTTAGCTCTTATGCTAGGCCTGTAGCGATATCACATTGTAGTTTTAATTTCTATTTACCTAATGTGAATAGAAATAATTTTTAAAAAATATGTGGAATATCTTTTTATATGCTGGTTGGCTCTTTCTATGTCCTTGTCAGTAAATGTCTGCTCTTGTATTTTGCCCATTTTCAAATTGGATTTTATCTTCTGTTTTTATTGTTGAGTTTTGAAACTATAGTACTATAAGTAGAAAGTCTGTAGTTTGTCTTTTTTTTATCATCTTAACAGACTTTTTCAAAGAGCATCTTTTTCAAAGAGCAAAACTGTTAAAGTTTGATGAAATTCAATTTATCACTGTTTCCTTTTATGGATCATGCTTTTTGGGGTCAAGTCAAAGAATGCTTTGCTTTATCTTAGGTCCTGTGATTTTGATTGTGGTATCACCTATCTTTTTTCTCTTGCTGCTTTTACTTTTGCTAATATTTTACTTTAGTGCACTGAGGCAAATTTACCTTTGTAGGCAGTATGCTTGGTGGTTTTGTTTCTCTTGTTTCTTGAGTGTTTGGCTTGATATTTCCATCAATTTGGAATAACTTTCAGCTATAATCATCTTAAATATTATTTCAGTCCCATTCTCTCTCATATGCCTCTCAGAATTGAAAAACTTTTATATTACACTTGCATGTCCCATATGTCTCTCATACTCTTATTTATATTTTCTTTTTCTTTCCATGCTTCAACATGGATTTTTTTATTCTGACTTACTTTCCAGTTCCCTTATTTTTCTTGCACTATGTCTAAGCTGCTGTTATTACCAGTAATTGAGATACTGTATTTTCTTAAATTTAAATTTTCCATTAGAATGTTTAATATTTTTTCATCAACTGTGCTTTTATAATGTATTTCAAGAACATTATGTTAGGATGTATGCATCCATTTTTAATAGAATTGAAATAAAATTTGCTGAATATTTAATAATATATTTATACTATAAAAGTATTTACTGGTTTTGAAATCAGTGCATAGAAAAATATTTAAGCATATAAAATAATAATCTTAATATTTTAAGTGAATAAATTATATAAACTGCACAATGCTTTCAAGTATAACTTTACTGTGTCCTCATTCATATTTCTAATTTTCTCATGGGAAATGTTAAATTAATTAAGTAGGAGGCCATATCAGCCTGAGGCTATCATTGCATTTTTAGTTTCTGTGTAACAAAATGCTACCTAAATATGTTTGATGGTTAATATTGAGTGTCAACTTGATTGGACTGAAGGATGCAAAGCATTGTTCCTGGTGTGTCTGTGAGGGTGTTACCAAAGGAGATTAACATTTGAGTCAGTGGACTAGGAGAGGCAGACCCACCCTCAATCTGGGTGGGCACCATCTAATCAGCTGCCAGACAGGCTAGAATAAAACAGGCAGAAGATGGAAGAGCAGACTTGCTGAGTCTTCCGGCCCTCGTCTTTTTCCTGTGCTGGATCCTTCCTGACCTTGAACATCAGACTCCATGCTCTTCAGATTTGGATTCTTGGACTTACACCAGTGGTTTACCAGGGGATCTCAGTCCTTTGGCCACAGGCTGAAAGCTGCACTGTTGGCTTCCCTAATATTGAGGTTTAGGGACTCAGACTGGCTTCCTTGCTCCTCAGCTTGCACAGGGCCTACTGTGGGACTTCACCTTGTGATGGTGTGTGAGTCAATACTCCTTAATAAACTCCCTTTCATATATACTTCTATCCTATTAGTTCTGTCTCTCTAGAGAACTCTGACTAATACATTATGCCAACTAAAAGAAACCTAATTTAGGAATATAATTTTAGTAACAAATAGCTGGGTTTCAGGCAATTACAAGACAGCCAACTGGTCACTAATGCCCAAATAAAGCAAACGCCTAGCTGTACCCGGTCAGGTAATTTCTCTACTTGGCTTCTGTGTTCAGCCTTTGAAAGCCTGTTGCTCACACTGCTGGATGGAGCTCTTTAAACTTCTTCTGATTGTGAGTGTAGCCCAATTTGTTACTCATTTTTTGCTTAAATAAGCCCTTTTAAATGTATTATGTCTAGAGTTTTTTATTTTAACAACAGTGAACATGAAAAAAGCTTTATGTTACAAAGCCAGACATTGAGATAGACATATATTTTTCCCTGACGGGACTAAAAACAAATAGGTAATGATTACTTTAGCAAGCCTCACAATTGTCCCTCATACATAAACACAAAAAAGGATGCTTCTCAGGAGTATAATTTCAGCACAAGTTTCAAAATGACTTGGCATGATTTGGGAAGGTATACTCATTTGGGTTCACTAAAGACAATAATAGAGTACTTTTGACTCAGAAAGGGCATATTTTGACCTATACCCTTTCCACTTCTGGATTCATCCACAGCAGATAGATTTTAAGGTGCTGCTCCTGGAATGCACGCCTTCCTGTAATCCCTCTGCCTTCAGTGTGGGTATGACCTGTGTCTTGGTTCTGAAAACAGAATATGGCAAATGTGTTGATGCATGACTCACTTGATTACATTACATTATATGAGGCTGTTTTGCCTGCAGGCTTGCTCCTCTTATTTGCTTGATGAAATAACTGGACATATTGGGGAGGTCCAAATGGCAAGCAACTGCTTGTGGTATCTCAGAGATATGGGCAGCCTTGAGGAGTAAAGGAAAGTCTTGACTTTCTCGGGTCTGTATCAGAAAGAAACTGAATGTTCCCAACAGCCCTATGAACTTGGAAGAGATCCCTGAGCCTCGGGCGAGAAAACAGCCCTAGCAGACACCTTGATTATAGTCTTGCGAGACTCTTGCAAAGACCCAGCTAAGCCATGCACAAATTTCTGACCTATAGAAACTGTGAGATAATAAATACATGTTGTTTTAAGTTGCGGATTTTGTATAATTTCTTATACAGCAGAAAAACAAATGCACAACCCCTTTCAGTCTCCTACTTGCTCTATTTGCTATAGGCAACCAGCCTTCCAAATTGCCATGCTTCTTTGACTAGATGCACATGACATCCAGCCTCTTGCCCCATGATCCAGATCCATCTTCACTCTCACCACCCTATTAATACATATATACTCTTCATGTTTCTAAAATTGAATCATCGTTTAGCATCAGCATCACTCAATCATCATTCCTGTGTCACTCCTGCAGATCCTCCAAAATAGAGCTAGTCCCTCTGACACAATCAAGTCCATCAACCTCATTAAGAGAGAAACGTTTGCTATTTCCTCCTCACTTAAAGTAGGGTTGGACATAAAGCATTCAATATCATTTTATTGGTATAATTTGTGCAGCATTCATGAATGAATTCATTTTTCTGAGTTACATTTCGGATCCAAAGAAAATTCAATTGCTTTGATTCTCCAAAAATTATTTGGTACTTAAAATAAAGCTTTATGAAATTATTTCCACTGAGTACAAAATTACACTGTGGGCTTTGGGGGATTATACCTAAGAATAATAAAAATAAAGGCGCTTGCATTTATTCCATTCAAATGAGGAGGAAGGAAACAATTAACTTACCTGGCCAGGCTTAGAATTTTCACATACAATAATATCATATTCCCTGGCAAGTTCGGGTGGATTGTCATTGACATCCAGAACTCTAATACCCACTGTGACATGGCTCAGCAAATCAGGATTATCTGCAAAATACACAGGAATGTATTTAGTATTTCCATGCACACTTTAGAGGCTCGGTTTAAAACAAATCTCTTTAATACTGTAGCTTGTCACTGGTTCCATATGCCATAGCTGGACTTTTGGCAAACGACAACTTTATGAAGGCGCTCTTTGCTAGAACTCATTAACTTACAGGAAAATGAAAAATGAACACCATGGCATGACATGAATGCCAAAATGATATTTTGTCATATCAAGGAAATTACATGTTATCAGGAACTTGAGTGGGAGAAAGTTGTCAGAATTCATTGTATGCTGTCAGAGTCTACAGGATGAACAATTGGTTTCATCATTAATCTAAGAAAAACACAGCAGTTGGTAAAAAATAATTACCTAATCTTTAAAAAAGTTTAATGTTCAAATCTAACTAAACTCAAAGAAAACAAAAAATAAATTTCTTTACACAAAGAATCATTTTCTTATGGCAGAATATATGCAGAGTGTGATGTTAAGTCACGCTCGGGGAAAAATAAATAATAATTGAAATCAAAATTTAGCATGAGATTCATACATGCAATTTACATGTAACTCTCGTAGATATCAAAATATATTCAATAGTTTCAAAAACATCTTAAACTAAGACTTTTTATCTTTTCAGTGGGTTTATTAATTCTGAGATGTAACAAAAACATAAATGTCTGGTATATTTTACAAGTCCAAGCTAGAGATTCAGAATACATAATGAACAAATTAAATCTCTCTGTCTGGCTTTCTCTTTGCTAATGTATCTGTCATTCTCTGAAGCAATTCAAATTTAAATTGTAACAACATACAATACATTAATAATAAGACTAGTAAAAAAGATACAACAATATTGGGAAAAAGGGAATAAATACTTATAGAGAAGTTATTCATGATAGTAAGAAAATAGATGGGTTAAAAAGTGTCAAGTAGCTCTAAAATAAATAGAAAATCTAAGTAGTGCTGTATTAAAGTAACTAGAGAAAATAAATTTTTCAGTAAAAAGTTAATTTTTGCAAAGAGAGAAAAAAATTTGTCCCAGATTTTTTACTTAAAGTAACAGGTAATTACAGTCTACACATTTTTTCCCTAGAAAATATAAGAAAGAGGAAATATTTCAAAATTTTTATTTATTTATTTATTTATTTTGCTTGTGAAACTTTGGAACCAATACTAGACACTACCACTCACGACACATATTAAGTGTCAACTGCCTAAACAAAATAATAGTAAACACACTCCACTGAGTTGTTCTTGATAATTCTTGATCAGTTTTGTCCCAGGAATGTTTGTTTAGCTCAACAAAAAAAGACGGAAGAGGTACAGAAAAGAAGTAAATTTTCATAAAGATACAATAAAAGTTATTCACAAGTTAGTGAATTAAATGAAAGATGATAAAGCATATACATAATCACTCAAGAACATATTAAGAAATACAAAAAATAAAATGCAATATTCATATATTCTAAAAACCATCCAATAAAACAACAAATGACAAGAAAAATTGCATCATACATCATTCTTAATGGTGAAAAATCTAAGAATTAAAGGAACCTATGAATAAATCTAACAAAGTATATGAAAGACCCATATGCAGAATACTTTACTGAATTTCATTAAAAAAGATATAAAGATATTAAGAGCTGTATTACGTCTGCGGTTAAAGAGACAAAATGTCACAAATAAGGACATACCATCCAGATTGATGGTATTTCCAATGTAATCTAATACAAATCCAATGAAAGTTGTTCATAGCAATTGAAAACTGCTTCTAATATTTATAAACACTAAGATAATTCAGACTTGTATGAAGAAGAGGAATAAAGCAGAATTGCACGCCGGGCATGGTGGCTCACGCCTGTAATCCCAGTATTTTGGGAGGCTGAGGTAGGAGGAACACCTGAGGTCAGGAGATCGAGACCAGCCTGGCCAACATGGAGCAACCTCGTCTCTAGTAAAAATACAAAAATTAGCCAGGTGTGTTTGTGCATGCCTGTACTCCCAACTACTGGGGAGGCTGAGGCAGGAGAATCACTTGAACCTGGGAGGCGGAGGCTGCAGCGAGCTGAGCTCACGCCACTGCACTGCAGCCTGAGTGACAGAGTGAGACTCCTTCTCAAAAAAAAAAAAAAAAAAAAAAGGAGAGTTGCTGTACCATTTATCAAGGCTTACTACACTTAACACCCTACGACTATGTCACAGGGATAGACAAACAGAACAGAAACACAAAACAGAACCCAGCCAAAGACCCACTATACATAGAAATTTAATATATGGTGATGATGGCATTACAGATCAATGGTGAACGTACGGGTTAATCAATAAATAGTACAACTTGTTATTCACATAATAATAATAGTAGTAGTAACAATAAGAATAATGACATTGATCTTATGTTACACTTACACAAAAACATGTTTTAAATTATTAAAGACAAGTATATAAGGCAAAATCATACATATTTTGGGAAAAATGGTTAGCATTAATATGTGCACTTAAGTTACATGCACAATTTCAAAACACAAAATTCACTAAAACAAGAAGGAAGAATTGATAAATTTGATTGCACTAAAACATGATTTCTTACTCATTTTCTCCAAATATATCATGAAGAGGAAAAAAATTACAATTTGGGTGAACACATTTGTGGCACACGTAACTGACAAAGGACTTGTATCTGTAATATATAATTTAACATATTGAAACAATTTTAAAAGCCAACACAATATAAAAATAGGCAAATATTAATGGCCAACAGTTAATAGGAGATAATATAAATAAAAAATAAACATGAAAAAAAATCAGTCTCATTAGTATGAAAAAAAGTAGGTTAATCAAAATAAGTTATCACTTAACATAAGCCAGACTAACACAATACTAAGAAGTTTGGCAAGATTTCTCCAAATGCTGGATTGAATATAGACAAAGAAAGGCCTATAAAGTTAACTCATAAGGAATAACTTGTATATTCTCATGCTCTAGATGATGTAATTTCCCTGATTTATACCTATAGGAAAACTCTTGAATATACATACTATCAGTACAATTAATGGCAACAACGACAATAGGAAAATAAAAATATTCAACAACTCCTGAATGGATACAAAACTTTGATGCATTTATATCATACAGAAAATAAATAACAACACAGCCACCATGTGAAGCAATCTTAGAAACAAATTGTTGTTCTCAGAAATGTGTCAGAAGACTGCATTCAAGTATTGTAAAATTTTGTAAAAATAGAAAACAACACGTAAAAGTAAATATTATACTGTAAAACTAATAAGATAATGTTTAGGATAATGCTTTTGTAACTCTAATTCTTAAGTACAGAGATGTGTTAAAATCTGTTTATTATTGTATTTTGCAACATCTTTGTAGATATCAAGAATTACATTATATATATGTTAAAAAGTTATGACATCTTGAAAGTAATATATTAATACCTTCATATATAATTTATATTGGCATAGTTAATAACTGATTATCTACTTATAGTAAAAGATAATATGATGCTTGTATATTATTATATTAATTATATATTATATTGATAAATGAATATATACATTAAATTAAATTACTTGCTTTAAATATATGTTTACTTATCATGAAAATGCTAAAACTTCTTTTAGAAACTAACATTAAATATCACTTTATTTTGTTATTACATTATTTCAAAACTAACATAATAATTAGTCAAAATGCTTATTTTATAAATTATAAAAAATTGAAATTGACACAGTTTAAATGATTTATCTCAGCAAAGGGTTATATTCTACTTCTTTTGACTATTACCACTACATACATATATATTTTCTATTCTACATATCATAAAAGATTTTATGTATTCCTGTATCTCCCAATTTTAAGCAGACAAAAGCAATCTCTTTTAAAAATCTGGGGTAAGAATAATTTTGTAAGCTCTAGTCATAGGTATCAGCAACCTTACTTGTTCCTGAGTAAGTAACTCTCTGCTCTTTTTTTTCTGAGATGGAGTCTCGCTCTGTCGCCCAGGCTGGAGTGCAGTGGCGCGATCTCCGCTCACTACAAGCTCCGCCTCCCGGGTTCACGCCATTCTCCTGCCTCAGCCTCCCGAGTAGCTGGGACTACAGGCGCCCGCCACCACGCCCGGCTAATTTATTGTGTTTTTAGTAGAGACGGGGTTTCACCATGTTAGACAAGATGGTCTCCATCTCCTGACCTCGTGATCCGCCGGCCTCGGTCTCCCAAAGTGCTGGGATTACAGGCGTGAGCCACCGCGCCTGGCCAAATCTCTGCTCTTTTTCTGAAAAGGCAGGGTTAAAAGCAACTCCAGTGAAGTAAGAAACTGTGTTTTCTATGAAAGGATTCTGGAAAAACCATATCTTGAGGAGGAATTTGAATAAAAGAACAAGCAAGCAGTTGACTGCTATCAGCTGTCACCTCTCACTGTCCTACCTCTGCCTTGTTGCAGCTTTCCCCTGGGACTGGAATGTCTTTTCATGCATTCCACACTTGGGCACAGGAAGCTAAATCCTTCTGCTTCAACATAGACTCTGTCCATTATGACCCAATATTACTTTACATCCCTAATGTACAATCACTATTCTGTAACAATGATTAAAAGCATAGCATTTGGGATCAGGGTAATATCAGTTTCGTCTATATACCTACTATCATTCAGTGTCCTGTAGGAAACAGAATTTAATCTTACCTTATTGAGCATGTGACTCATGATACTGCCTGCCCTGTCAGGGGCAACCACAGGAATTACGAAAAACAAAATGTTAGAGTAAATTTAAAGTAATTTCTGGTGCAAATTCAATAACTGCTGTCTGTTACTAAAAGTAGGATGATGTATAAAAATGTGGCTGTGATTTCAGACAATTACGAGTGAAAACTCACTGTCACTTTATAGCCACTCACAGCCTTCTTGCAGCATTCTGGTATTTTATGATATGAGATATTTCTGTAGTTGTGAACTGAAAACTACCCATGGGTCTCTATATATTATTTCTTGTGTCCTTGGGTCAGTATTTTACCCTTTAAATGTCAATCACTCTACCTATAAAATGTAAACCTATTCATGGGATTTACAAGCATTTTGCTAAGGCTAAAATTGGATAATTCCTTAAGACCTTAAAGCACTATTTCTATTATTGTTATTATAATTTTTATATTTATGCTTCATTTCTAGAAAACAATTTTCATATTCTTTTGACAGCAGAGTAAATAAAATATATTGAAATCATGCAAACATAAATATAAATCATATTCTCAGCACTCTTCAGGAGCAGAACTTCAATAAATTATTTGCAATTTATTGATGTGCATTAATTATTTAATTTGTAAGCCTATAATAAGAGTTATTTAACTTGCCAAGTTGTGTTTTTGAGAAACAATTAACGGTAACTATGTCAACTTTATAATACTGAGCCTGGGAAAAAGCAGAATGTACATCTTAATAATTTCTGAATATTAAAATAGAAACAAAGCCAAAATATATGCATGTATTTTCCAGCACCAACTATGCTATATAAAAATCATCTGTGCTTTATGCAACATTAATACAATAGGGACTCATGTCATCAGAGTGCCCCCTCTAGAGATAGTGATACAGAGAAAGTGCTATTGCAGTGCAAGTGGAAGCTGTATGCTACAATATGTAGAAGATCTTTTATAACTTGAGAAACAATACATTTTATCCAGTGATTACTTTTGGAAAGACTGATATGTGCGTAACACTATGATGGGCTCTGGAGAACACAGAACAACAAAATATGCCATTCTTCCAGATTTCCCACTTATGGACATTGAATGGAAAAAATAAATACTAATTTTTTCTTAAATATCATGACTTAAATCTTTAATTTACTTTTAGCCCAAAGCCATTATTATTTAAATATGTGCCACCCAAACAATCTAAATCATGTCTATGAGTGTATGCCTTCTAGGGAATTTGGTAGATTTCTAATCTGATTATTCATATTCGAAAATTAGTATTAAAAATATTTGTCAAATATATAAATAGGTTAATATAATATTGCAGATTATTTTCCTAAAATGTGCTTTTATTGCTTTCATTATGAAAATTCACTCAAAATGAAAAGACTTATCTACTACTATAATAAAAATTTACAGGGAATATGAACTTAAATAATCACATTTATAGCTGTCTAAGTTTCATAAATGCCCATGAGAATAAAGATGGTTTATAAATTGTATTTTTGGTCTGTCTGATTTAGATTTCTATGAAAAGATTTCCTTATAGGAAAATTTAGAACTAAAATTACTCTCATTCTTTTGAATACTTACTGTGGGCTGATGCTGGGACATTTTAACGTGCTTGGTTAATGCTTTGTTTGTTAACAAATATGTTTCCATTATTTTCTTTAATAAACATGTAACAATAAGTTTTGCAAACAGGTGCTCAAATGAAAACAAACTATCCACTTAAGTGTATTTGTTTGATTTGAAATGAGAGTAGTTTTTCCATTGTAAAATCTTGTATATGAAAGTCATATTAAGTTTTAGTTAAAAAAAAGTGAGCTAAATCAATTAATACATATTATAAACTACTTTATAATACTATTAAATCTACTTAAACAATAATTTATATGTAAAACTCTCACAATGTCTGGTACATGCTGGTGCCACTAATATGCTTCTTTTTCTCTTTTTTAAATATATTATTTAAATATCAGTAAAAAAAATCAAATATTGTATTCAAAATAATTTGCTATAATTTATATGAAAGGTGTATATCATATATAATAAATTACTCCTCAAATATCCCTTTACTGTATCCATATAAAAAGTTTTAAAATAAAGCATTCTGTGAATTTTATGCAACAGAATATTAAACCAACTCTGTGTTTAAGGTCTGTTATTTCATAGGAAGGAGCATAACACGTGTAGAAATATTTCAAAAATTACAAAGCATTTAGAAACACATCACATAAAACTTATCCCATATATTTATTCAACTTTTGTCAGTTTACAGTAAGTGCTCTCATTTATTACATAGTTATCATACAAATTCTAGATTGAAGTGAATTATTTAAAATGAATCTTGACTCTTTTCAGTACATTATTTTGTTCCAGTTGCCTATAAATCCTCCAATAATTCCTTATATATATCATTAATATTATTACCTGAGAGTAACAGGAGTTAGAAGCTTTAAAATTAAAGCTGTGCCTTTGCTGTTAGGAATGAACACTTTGTTCCGTTAACCAGAACTACAAAGTCAAAGTAATTTACCTCTAGTTGAAAGTAATTACATTGAGAGAATGTAAGAAATTGTATTGATTATAAAGTAAACGAAAAATATGTATTCTATTCTTGTGAAAATGTCACAATTGGCCCACTCAATTATATAAGAAAATCTACCAAATATAACATTTATTTTCTACTTTTTGTAATAATTCAGTTTTAACATGTTTTTTCTATCTTGGCCTATTTGTGTATAACGCCTGTGAACTTTTCTATCTTTTATCTTTATAGAGTATATAGGATTTACCTTGTGATGAACTTTTATGCTGTCTTTTGCATTTATAATTACAATCATATTTTTAATGCTGCTTAGAACTTTACTAACAAAATGGATTATAAGTTTATTCTTTCTTTTTCTGGGTGTGCAATCTAATTATAATAAAAATTTCCTTATCAGATAGAATCAACATCAAAAATAATAATGTTAATTAAAGCAAAACAGCTACTATGTAAAATAATTAATAAAAATAATGATATATATATTTTAAATGTTTGTATAAATATATTGAAATGCATAATTATTCATCAAACTGCAATCTCTCAATGTAGGAGTATGGACCTAACTCTGAGAACAGATTTGTTGCTGTTCGGGGTTAACACCACCATTCTTGTAAAGATAACACACTGAGTTATTTATGAAGCTATTTATGAAGCCCAAAATTGATTGATTCTAAGTGAGGGAAGAACTTGAAGATTCTTTCAAAACACTAAGCGTGGCAACACTTCTAATTCTATAAAATTACCTGAGATTTTATAATTGCCTAACTGTTCTCCTTAATTGGAACATAATTTTAGCAAATCTCTTTTATGAAGTCTTGGGAAACTTTCAACTTAAAGTACGTTACACAAATTCTGAATCCATTCTGTGCGTATATCCCATTATTTTGTTTAATATTTAAATAAACTACATAATTACAATAAGAAGTTTGACTGGTTTGGAAATAGAACTTAAAAAAAAAATCCACCTTAGTCAGGAAAGAGCAACTGATTAAAACTGGCCTGCCATCACAAAGGATCGTAAAATGGAATAAAATATATAAAAAAGAAAATAGATAATGCTAAGAATGCTCTCTGGGAGAAGAGACTTACATAATCTGAGCCCCAGGACTATCTCAGGCTTTGATAATACATTCATTATGACCAAGTGAGGGATATCCTAGGAAAAGAAGACTGGTTGTTTAACATTTAAAAATCAGTGAATATAATTCACTGCACACATTCAATACACACATAATAAAAGTTAACAAATATGACATTTTTAACAAGAAATAAAGAACACTTAGCAAGTTACAAATAGAAGGAACTTTCTCAACCTGAACAAAACTGTAACTATGATCACCCTTATCAGTGAATACTGAATGCTTTATCCCAAGGATCAGAAATAAACAGAAATGTAAGGATATATGCTCTCAGAACTTCTCCTGAACACTATCTTTAGGGTTATAGTTAGAGTAAATAGTAAAAGAAATAAAAGTGATGTAAATTGCAAAATAAACAAATTTATTATCTATGAAGATTTATTATCTATGAAGATTTATTATGATTATGAAGAAAATACCATATAATATACAAAAAAATAGAATTATTAAAACAGTCTAGCAGTATCACAGGATACAAGTTCGGTATTTACATATATTTCTATCAGAATGAAAGTAAAGGAAGATTTTAACATCTAACTTATATAACATGAATAAACATGAAAACAAATACGTGAAATGTTTGTATGCTGAATTCTACATATGTTGCTTTGAGAAATGTTTAAAAGACCTAGATAACTGAAAACATACTGTGTTTACTCATGGATAAAATGCTCAATGTTGTTCATTGAGGTGTCCATGCTCCCAAATTGAAACTTAGATTCAGTGTAATACCAACCAAAAATCCGATATTGTTGAATAATTTGATAAGCTGATTCTAAAAGTTATATGCAACAAAAACTGTTCTAAAATAACCCAAACAATTTCAAAAAGGAGGAAGAAAAATGTAGGAGAACTCACACTATCTGATTTTGTGTCATTATAAAACTATAGCAATCATAGCACCGTAGTATTAGTATATACATTGTCAGTGGTACCAATGAGAGCCCAGAAATTGATAAATACACAAATGCTCAAGGGTTTATGGACAAACTAGCCATAACAATTAATTGAGAAAATGATAGCATTAAGACAAATGGTGGATCCATTGTAAATTCATATTAAAGAAAATTAAACTTGACTCTTACCACTCATCATATATAAAACATGGCCCAAAGGAAACCATAGATATAAATATAAAACCTCAAAGTTTAAATATATAAAACTAATAAAGGAAATTTTTGTTACCTTTTGTTTGGCAAAGAATTATTCGAAAAAAACACAAAAGAAAAAACATAAAAAAGCCAATAAATTGTAATTTTCTTTTTTTATTTTATTATTATTATACTTTAAGTTTTAGTGTACATGTGCACAATGTGCAGGTTTGTTACATATGTATACATGTGCCATGTTGGTGTGCTGCACCCATTAACTCGTCATTTAGCATTAGGTATATCTCCCAGTGCTATCCCTCCCCCTTCCCCCTACCCCACAACAGTCCCCAGAGTGTGATGTTCCCCTTCCTGTGTCCATGTGTTCTCATTGTTCAATTCCCACCTATGAGTGAGAACATGCGGTGTTTGGCTTTTTGTCCTTGGGATAGTTTGCTGAGAATGATGGTTTCCGGTTTCATCCATGTCCCTACAAAGGACACGAACTCATCATTTTTTATGGCTGCATAGTATTCCATGGTGTATATGTACCATATTTTCTTAATCCAGTCTATCGTTGTTGGACATTTGGCTTGGTTCCAAGTCTTTGCTGTTGTGAATAGTGCCGCAATATACCCTTGCGCTTCTCGAGTGAGGCAATGCCTCGCCCTGCTTCGGCTCGCGCATGGTGTGCTGCACCCACTGTCCTGCACCCACTGTCTGGCACTCCCTAGTGAGATGAACCCGGTACCTCAGATGGAAATGCAGAAATCACCTGTCTTCTGCATCGCTCACGCTGGGAGCTGTAGACCGGAGCTGTTCCTATTTGGCCATCTTGGCTCCACCTCCAATAAATTGTAATTTTCAAGAAAATGTTCTTTGAAAAACTCACTAAATACAGCGTTCATTAAGAAAATGAAAAGATAAGACACAAATATGTGAATATATTCAAAAAAATGAACATCTGATTAACTCATATATCTGCATATATTAAAATCTCAAATTCAAACAATAAAAATCTAAATAACTTTATAAAATTTTGCAAAATCCTGAACAGAAAATCCACCAAAGAAGAAAATGCAGATGGCACATGAAAATATTTTCAACATCATTTCTCTGTGGTGAAATGCAAATAAAAACCACAATAAGATGTCACTACATACTTATTAGAATGACGGGGAAAAATACCCTGGCAACACATGCGGAAGACGTGAAGCAACTGCTGATGGTAATGCAAAGTTGTATAGCCAGTTTGGAAAGCAATTTGGCATGTTTCCATAAACTCGAACATGGTATTTTGTTTGACAATCCCACACCTGGCTATTTACCCAAGACAAGTTAAAATGTGTGTTCTCACACACACACACACACACACACACACACAAACAAAATTGGGCTGGGCACGGTAGCTCACACCTGTAATCCCAGCACTTAGGGAGGCTGGCGTGGGTGGATCAGCTGAGATCAGGAGTTCGAGACCAGTCTGGCCAACATGGTGAAAGCCTGTCTCTATTAAAAACAAATGCAAAAATTAGCCAGGTGTGGCTTCCTGAAAATAATGACTCATAAGCTTGACTCATAAACTTGACTCATTAACGCAAAAGCTTCCTGAAAAGAATGACTCAAAGGTGTCCACAGTATCTACTTGTCATTCTCATTACATTTGAAAAAGGCAAAACTATAGGTAGTTACCAGGACTTGGAGGTGAGAGAAGAGAAATCCCTTTAACTTTTGTGGACGAAGGTTGTGGAAAGTGACTAGATGCCTCTGCAAAATTCATTATACTTTACACATTAAAATGGTAATTTTACTATGTAAATTGCTCTCCATGAAAGCTGACTTGTTAACAAGAGTGATGTATTCTGAGGCATTAAATTTGTAGCCAATGTATTTTTTTGGGTCTTTTTTTTTAAATGTTAGACTTCCATTTGACAACATTTTTCTAATGCATCATTCTAACAAAGTTCTTTCCAATGAACTTTTAGTAACAACATAAACTTTATCAATGTATTGCTTCTATTGAAATACTAAATATTATAAATTATTGAAAATATTCCGCATTTATGCTTGTCACTGGGTTGTTGACACCAAGATGATCTGAAGCAATAGTTAAGAAGTACCTTATACATAATTTCTGATGATTAACATTTTTTTATTTTCATTTCCTTTACCCAGAACTAAGGTGAAAACAGAAGACATTCCTTATCTTTAACTTTCGACAAGATATTTGTATATGTGTGAGTGCCTGGGTTTGTATCTTGGTTCATTCATTATGAGTGTCATATTTTCATTTATTTGGAAGTATTTGATTTGACTTAGTAGTATGTAGTATCACTTATGTTTTAAAAGGAACATTATGACAGCTGGGTGAATAACAAGAAGTCTAAGATTAAGACCCAAAGCCCAAAGGAAGCTAAGGTTAGGACCCAAAGAAAGCTCTTAAAATACCCCAGGTAAGGGGTGAAAGTTGTTCGAACTGCGGTGGAAGTGAGATAAATGATAGGAAATAGTTGACTTATAAATAGTTTTTAAAGGTATAGCTGACAAAAGTTTCCAATGGATTGGATGTGGAACATGAGAGAGAAGAGACAAATGACTGCATGGTTTATATGAGCAATCTGGACTATAGTCATCATTCCAAAGATAGATAAGACATCTGAAGAAGATTGAGGGAGAAATCAGATTTTACAGAGATTTACCTGCAGCATGTCGAGTTTGAGACCTCCAGGAGGAGATATTAAAGTGGCCAATATGGAATTCAGGGGAAAAATAACATTGCAGCTGCAGATTAAAATTTGAGAGCTATCCAATCCATGAGACTGAATGAAATCACCTTGGCAACAACTCAAGATACATTTAAAGTGTAAAACTTGGTGTCTCACAATTCAATACATAGAGAAGCGAGGAGGAACTAAACAGCATGCAGAAAGAAGAGCCAATGAAGGATGGAGTTAATCAAAAGGATATTATGTCCGTAAGCCAAAGAAAGAATCTTTTTCTTGAAAGAGTTGTTAATCGTATCAAATGTTGATGCTTTGTTGAGTAGAGGAATAGGATTAGGCTTTGGATTCTGCAACATGGAGGTTGAGAATGATTGTGCTGAAGTAGCAAAGTCAAGAGTCTTGTTAGAATGGATTTAAAACAGCATGGAAGAAAAGAGAGTACAAACTGTGAACAGAGTAAATTATTTCAAGGAGCTTTTCAGTCAAAAGAATGAGATAACAGAGATGTATTTGGAGGAGAATATTAGATCAACAGATGTTTTCAGGTTTTGTTTGCTTTGCATGAATTAATTTTATTTTCAGATAGAAAATAAAGCATGTTTTTGAGGACAGGGGCATGCTTTAGACAGTGAAAAAGTAAGAATTCAGGAAACAGGATAAAATAGAAAGAGCATTGTCTCACAGCAAACAAATAAGAACAGTATAAGGTCATGTGAAGGAGTGGCCAGAGACTTGGCATGGACAGTGCATTTCAGGAACCTGAAAAAAGCCATATTTACAGATATCAACATCCACTAGCTAGGTTGATATATAGGATGGCACGGGAATATGGAAACCCCTTTCTGATTGCTCTTATTTTATAAGTTTTTGGAGAAGCAATGTTATCTGATACAATACATGTAAAGAAATTGGAAGAGGTATTAGAAATTTAATGAAAGGAAACCTATAAAATAAATATCTAGCAATGCTGTGTAAAATTATTTGAGTGATTTGAAGTTTCTTTTGAATAAAGAAACTTGTTCTAATTGTCTTACAATATGATACTAACACTGGGATATTGCAATTAATAAATCATCAAATGTATTGGCACATTAAGTAAATGTGGTGGATATTGTGATTGTCTCATCAAATTGCTCCTTATTGTGTAGAACCTAAAAGGTATGAAAGGAGTTAACCATGAGCAATAATAAAAATATAGGCCTGATGGTCCTGAGTCAGTGTCCACATGCCTTTCATTTTGTTACAATAATTCATCCACTTATGGACAAATTTCATGTATTAAATACATTTTTAAGGCAGTGAAAGGAGATTAATACATTAAAAAAAAACTGAAAGCAGCAACATTTTTAATGGCTATGTAAAATGACAATTTATCTCCCCAGGTTGTGAATGAGAATGCATGAACCCAACTTTAGCGTCACTCATCTTATTACCATGTTACAAGTTAACATACAATTTGTTACTTGTTACTATAATATAGCAACATGAAGGAAAAAGGTGACGTTAAAAAATTCAGAAGATGAAAAATCAGGGAGAATTGGAGACAGATACCTGATCAAAGCAAACTCATAGCTTAATTTACCTATACACTTTACAGATACATGAGCCAATAAATCTCTTTTAAATTTGAGAACAAATTCAATTATTTTTACTTGTGTGCTTTTTTACATATAAGTAAAAACATTCGAACAAATTCTGGCAGCCACCTCCAAGACGATACCAATTATTCCAGCCTGGTATTCATATCCTTGTATAATGGCTTTCCATATTTAACAAGGTTTTCCATATTTAATAATATTAAATACAATATTGCAGAAGTAACAATGTGTAATTTCTGAGGCTAGGTCATAAAGAAGATGGTTGCCTTCAGGTCACTCATTCTTGGATAACTCACTCTGAGTTGGCCAGCTGCCATGACAATCAAGACACTCAGCAGTCCTATGAAGGAGTCCATGATGTGAAAAACTGAGTTCTTTGCCAAAAACCAGCACCAACTTGCTAGTTATGTAAGTGAGACATGTTGGAAGCATCTCCCTGGGGCCCAGTCACATTTTGAAATAATTACAGCCCTAATCAAAATCTGGGTGACAACCTCTTGAATACCTCTGAACCTGAATAACCCACGTAAGCTGTTCCCTTATTACTGAGCCAAAGAAACTGGGTAACACACTATTGTTTATTGATGTTTTCTGTTACTACATTATGAAGTAATCTGTTATATGGCAATGGATTGATACATATATGTATACACAATATTCCTGAAAAGCATTTTGTTTGATTACTTTTGATCATTGGTTAAGGCAATACTGATTTCTTTCTGTGCTATTCCCTTCGCGAGCTAAGTAAAAGTGCTAATTAGGATCTCTTTGTGTGCTAAGGGAAATTGGTAATACAAACACATTTGTGGAAGACAAATTGCATACATCAAAATAAGCACATTGATAATAATAAAATAATGTTTATAAGCTACAGGGACTTAAAAATACTCACTCCGAGGTGACGGGTTTTTATATTCTTAGATGCAGCTGCTAACCAAAAATAACTTCATATTAAAGGGCAACAAGGAATACACTCACAAACACTAAATTTCATTTCTATTATCTGACATTAACAGTTGGATTACATTTGAAATTTGTGGATTCTAGTCTTTGGATATGTTTGCATGAGAGTCGAGAAAAAAATAACTAAAAAGACTCAATGAATAAAGAAAACACAAACATTGGTTTGTGGACTCTTATGTCCACAAGTGAAAAAGAGAGCTGAAGCAATGTATACAATATGCAATTTTTGTTGTTTCATTTGTAAATTCTGGAAATAGCAGAAGCTTTCAGACACATTGAAAGTTTCAATAAAGTATCATCTCCCAAACTTTGGCTCTTTTGGAAATTTATCTATTATACAAGCAATGAATGATTAGAGTTTCCTTTTGGTGAACTGACCAGGTCAAAGAAATTTTTACATTTAGTGCACAGAACAAGGTTAAATAGGATATTTGCATTAAATGAAGAATAAATTGTGTAGTGAATCATGAAGTTGTTGAGCTGGTATGATGGGTGGAGAAACTAGGAGCAAATTATATTTATGTATTTAACAAAATTTACTAACCACGTTCTATACACCAAGACATTCACTAAGTATTTGACAATACTATGATGAACAAAGATAAGTTAGACCAGATTTCTAAACTTGACATGGTTACAAGCCCATAGAGGTGAAAAAATACTACAATGAAATGCAATAAGTGTTATACTTAATGCATGCAGAACATTTAACTGTGGAAGAAAAGAAACTGTACATTTGTCTAAGTTGTTGAAAAACTTTTACAGTTGTGACATTTGAAACAGTTCTTACCAGTAAATAACTTTGGAAAGCAGAGCAAAATGAAAACAGGTCACTGAAAGATGAAAGGGTTATGAAATTATTGAAAAAACCTGGCCTGTTTGGAGACTATGATGAAAAGCGTAATACACATTTTTCAGAGGATTAAGCTGAAAACAGAGAGGGCTGAGTCTTGTTAAGGAAATTGATACACGTGGAGTTTATTTCTTAGACAATCAGGAAATGTGTACGTATCTCTGTGCATATGTTTGTCATAGGATTGGAACTAAATGGAGCTATGATTTAAATCAAATTGTGGTTAGAAACAATGTTTCTTAACCTTAACTTTACATTGGATTCATATAGGGCAATGGTCCTTAAACTTTAGCATGAATGAGAAACAGATGGAAGGCCTGGTACAACCAGGGTCGCTGGGCCTCAACCACAGAGTGTCTGATTCACTAGATCTGGGCCAAGGCCTGAGGATCTGCATTATTTGTTCCCATGGAACACACTTTGAGAGCTACTGGTTTGGAATGTAAAATGCTGAAGACCTTCTCCAGGAAAAAATGAATCTCAGAATCTCAGATGAGCAGTGGGTATGGCACTCGAGGTGATTCAAAAATATAATGTGTAGTCAGGTTTGAGATCCAGATATTGTGAAAGATCACTCAGATAACGGTGCAAATGATACAGTCTATGGTACTGTGATGGTTAATTTTATGTGTGGACTTGATTGAGCCATGGAGTGCTCAGATATGTATAGTTACACATTATTCTAGGTGTTTTTGGATGAGATTAGCATTTGCATCAGGAGACTGAGTAAAGCAGACAGTCTTTCATATTGTTAGTGGGCCTCATTCAATCAGTTGAAGGCCTGACTAGAACCAAAGTAATTCCCCCCCAGTGACAGAGAATTCTCCTGCTTCACAGTTTTGCATGAGTTTTTCTGGTTCTATAGCAGTCTGCCTGCCTTCAGACTCAAAGTGGGATACAGAGTCTGCAGATTTGGGATGTGATAGCTTCCATAATCATGTGAGCCAATTTTTTATAATAAATCTACCTGTTCCCCCTCTCTCTTTCTCTCTCTCTTTCTCTATTTATCAATCTATTTCCAGATCTCAATATATGTACATATGTAAGTGTGTGTATGTGCACATACACATTACACACACACACACACCCACGCATCCTCCCTATCGCTCTGTTTCTCTGGAGAATCCTAATACACAAATTCAGACACATTTGGAATCAGAAGAGAATATGCAGGGCAACCTTTACTCATCCCTCACCTCAAGACTGAATCCATGCATTATCCTCCCTATGAAACCTTCACTGATCCTCTTAGAGTGATTAAACTACCAGTTTTGTAGCCCCTAAAAAATCTCTCTTATCCCTAAAAAATCCTCTTTCTGCAGTAATTTTCCATAATGCAATTATCTACTTACCTTGTCTTATGAATAACACTCAAATGCCTCAAAGGCAAAATAATATTCTCAATATCCCTGGTGTCTAAAATACCACACTGACTAGCAAGTATCATTTATTAATATATTCTGCATGAGTTAATTGAAAGATACTTTAAGATAAAGATTATAAAGTACCCAATACCAACATACTGGAATAGTAGCTAAAATACAGAAAATTTTAAGAGGTAAAAGAATGATGAACATAGTCAAATGTCACAAAGAAATGACGGAAAGATAAAAGGTAAAAAGTATTGATAGGTTTTGGTTATTAGGCAGTCACTGATGCCTTATTTGTAGTTCCTAACAAAGAGTTGGAATGAAAATATGCATAATATGCATTATACCAGGGACACATAAAGGGAAAATTGCGTGATAGCATGTAAGTTTGAAGGAAAGTTTATTATCCAGTAAGAATCTCATAGCCATTGGAGAAGAGCTCATCCCAGCTGGCACATGATCTCAGCCTTTTGAGACCTTAAGTAGAGAACCCAGTTGAGCCCACCTGGACTTCTGACCTACAGAAATCATATTATTATATGTTACACAACAACAGAAAACTAATTCGAATTACCAAACAGCTGTATTATAGATTGCACAGAGGGAAGATGGTGTTACCCACTGCAGAAATGTTCTGTAGGCCTTTACTTAGAAAGTACTTTTTCCCAAAAACTGTGATATATGATGAGAATACAACACTTTCTAGGTCCCTGACCATACTCATAATGTCATCTTTATCGCACTCATAATGTCATCTTTACATTTGTAAGAGTTAATTTACTTCACAATATAAATTTAAAAAATAAATAACAAAATAAACGTTAGTGAGCTAAAATAACCTGACCAATGATTGGGCTCACCAAACATCAGCTTCCCTACAGGGCCATATTAGAATAAGCACAGATTTAGGGACTGGAATATTTCTATTGATATCTTGTATGACCCTGAAACAAGGCCTACTCACAAGAAGGAAGGAGCACTGTTTTTCCCTTGCCCTCATTCATTCCTAAATCCTACTGCAATGCCTCACCTGCCCAGAGGAGGCACCTTTCTCTTGTTGGCATAAATCCCTAGGTAGCCTTATAAAAGTACTTACAAACATTCACTACTAAATATCACTTCACAAAACAACTGGCTCTTCAGAAACGGTACATTAAGAAGATTTTTAAAAATCCCATTTGAAAAAGTACCAGCTACCCTTCCAAAACAGAATATATTAGAAAATACTTGGGTAGCGTGGTGATGTTGAGGTTAAGGTTGACAAACAATTGTACATGGCAATGTTCCCAATGACATTAACAGGCAATTAAGCCACGGAATCGGTGCATGCATTTCATTTCTAAATACAGTCTCCCAACATGGCTATAAAATCTTTACTAGTGCTCTTTCTTTCTATACACCTGTTTATGATTAGAATTAAATTATATTTTAGTAATGCTCATTGAGGTGTTCTCCAAGGTTGTTTTATTACCACCTAAAAACTCAGAAAATTACAATTTACTGTACTGCTTTACTTCATAGATATAGATTAACTCAAACCCCATATAAAGTACTGCACATAATAAAAATATACCTATATTTTACCAAGTAAATATATAATTAGGATGTTACTTAGTAAAAACAGGAATTTATTTTGGTGATGACTGCAAATAACATAATTTTCATGAATGCATGAACTCATATATATTCATAAACTACATTCTACTTAATTCAAATATTATTTGGAGTGAGGTAGTGAAAAAAAATTAATCTAAAGCATGGCTTCTGATTGAAATGCTTCTGGAGTTGATTCTCTTTTCTGAAGAATTAGCTCAATGCCTTTGTATTAGTCTGTTCTCACACTGCTAATAAGACATATCTGAGGCTGGGGAGGCCTCACAGTCATGGCAGAAGGCAAAGGAGAAGCAAAGTCACATCTTACGTGGCAGCAGGCAAGAGAAAGCCTGTGCAGAACTCCCCTTTATAAAACTATCAGATTTCATGAGACTTATTCACTATGACCAGAACAGCCTGGAAAAGACGAGGTCCATGATTCAATTACCTCCCACCAGCTCCCTCCCACAACATGTGGAAATTATGGGAGCTACAATTCAAGATGAGATTTGTGTGGGGACACACAGCCAAACCATATTATTCCACTCCTGGCCCCTCCCACAACTCATGTCATCACATTTCAAAACCAATCATGTCTTCCCAGCAGTCCTCCAAAGGCTTAACTCATTTCAGCATTAACTCAAAAGTTCACAGTCCAAAGTCTTATCTGAGACAAAGCAAGTCCCTTCTGCTTATGAGCCTGGAAAATCAAAAGCAAATTAGTTACTTCCTAGACACAATGGGGGTCTAGGAATTAAGTAAATATAGCCATTCCAAATGGGAAAAATTGGCCGAAACAAAGGGGCTACAGGTCCCATGCAAGTCTGAAATCCAGCAGGGCAGTCAAATCTTAAAGTTCCAAAATGATCTCCCTTGACTCCATGTCTCACGTCCAGGTCATGCTGATACAAGCCCATGGGCTTGGGCTGGTCCACCCCTGTGGCTTTGCAGGGTACAAGACCCCTCCCAGTTGCTTTCAGGGCTGGCATTGAGTGTCTGTGGCTTTTTAAGGTGTGCAGTGCAACCTGTCAATGGATCTACCATTCTGGGGTCTGGAGGATGTTGGCCCTCTTCTCACAGCTCCACTAGGCAGCGCCCCAGTGGAAACTCTGTGTGGGGGCTTGCACCTCACGTTTCCCTTCTGTACTGCCTTACAGGTCCTCCATGAGGACTCACCCCAGGAGCAAACTTCTGTCTGGGTGTCCAGGGGTTTCCATACATTCTCTGAAATCTAGGAGGAGGTTCCCAAACCTCAATTCTTGACTTCTATCTACCCTCAGGCTCAACACCATGTGGAAGTTGCCAAGGCTTAGTGCTTGCACCCTAGGAAGCCACTGCCCAAGCTATACCTTGGCCCTTTTTTGCCACAGCTGGTGCGACTGGGATGCAGGGCACCAAGTACCTAGGCTGCACACAGCAGGGGGCCCTGGGCCCAGCCCACACAACAATTTTTCCCTCCTAGGTCTCTGGGTCTGTGATGGGAGGGTCAGCTGTGAAGGTCTCTGACATGCCCTGGAGACATTTTCCCCATTGTCTTGGTGTTTAACATTTGGCTCCTTGTTACTTATCCAAATTTCTGCAGCAGGCTCGAATTTCTTCCCAGTTAATGGGTTTTTCTTTTTCTATCTCATCAACAAGCTGTAAATTTTCCAAACTTTTATGCTCTGCTTCCTCTTGAACTCTTTGTCGCTTAGAGATTTCTTCCACCAGATACCCCAAATCATCTCTCTCCAGTTCAAAGTTCCACAGATCTCTAGGGCAGGGGCAAAAAGCTGCTAGTCTCTGCTAAGGTACAATAAGAGTCACCTTTGCTCCAGTTCCCAAAAAGTTCCTGATCTCCATCTGAGATCACATCAGCCTGGACTTTATTGTTTATATCACTATAAGCATTTTGGTCAAAGCCATTCAACAAGTTTCTAGGAGGTTCCAAACTTTCCCACATCTTCCTGTCTTCCGAGCACTCCAAGTCTCCAGGATGTTCCAAACTTTCCCACATTTTTTTTATCTTCTTCTGAGCCCTCCAAACTGTTTCAACTTCTGACTGTTACCCGATTCCAAAGTCACTTCCACATTTTTAAGTATCTTTACAGCACTACCCCGCTCTACTGGTATCAATTTACTGTGTTAGTCTGTTCTCACACTGCTGATAAAGACATACCCGAGACTGGGTAATTTATAAAGGAAAAAGGTTTAATGGACTTAGTTTCACATGGCTGGGAAGGCCTCACAATCATGAAAGAAGGCAAAGGAAAAGCAAAGTCACATATTACATGGCGGCAGGCAAGAGAGAGCGTGTGCAGGGGAACTCCCCTTTATAAAACCATCAGATCTCCTGAGACTTATTCACTATCATGAGAACAGCATGGGAAAGACCCGGCCTCATGATTCAATTACCTCCCATTGGGTCCCTCCGATGACAGGTGGGAATTATGCGAGCTACAATTCAAGATGAGATATGGGTGAGGACAACCAAACCATATTAACCCTCATAATTTTTTTCTTGGATATATTTTTCCATTCATCCCTTTATTTCTTAACTAAGTTTTAATGAGTCCTTATTATTTAACCGCCATTTAATTTGTTCTTACATTACTAAGGATTCACAATTGCTAACGTCTGGTTATTTTGAAGATGAAAATAACCAGAAATGATTACAATTGAACTCACTCATGGATTCTTTAGAGAACCCCTTTAAAAGTAATTAGTGAAAGGTTACTTTTACAGAGATATTATGGTGAAAAACTAATTCAAATGGAAGCCACTTGAGCTAATTTTGCAGACACCAAAATCCAAGTAGAATCAAAAACACTGAAGTAGCCTCATGACTGCTACATAACTAAGGGCAATAGAAGCATGCATAAACTACAGTGCAATACCACCTCACACCCACTAGAATGGCTATAATAAAAAGACATATAGTAACAAATGTTGGTGGAAATATGAAGAAATAGGAAACCCTATTGCTGTCAGAAATGTAAAACAGTGCATCCACATTGGAAAACAATCTGCTAGTTCATCAAGTGGCTACACATAAGAGTTACCAGCAATTTCACTCCTAGGCATATACTCAAGAGAAATGGAAACATTTCCACAACTACTTTTACACCAATGCCTACAGCAATATTATTCCTATTAGGAAAAAAATGGAAACCAGATTAATGTTTGTCAAGTAAAGAATGGATAAATATGTGGTATATCAATACAATAGAATAATTTTGGCAATAAAAAAATGAAGTACCAATGACACATACTATAATATGCATACACATTGAACACATCATGCTCAATGATACAAACCTGTCACAAAAGACTACCTATTATATGATTATTTTATATAGCAAAGCAATAGCAGGCAAATTTATAGAGACAGAAAGTCAATTAATGGCTTCCTGAATTAAGGTGAAAGAGTGTGGGGGATTATGACTAAGTAATGCAGAATTTTTTTTTTTGTAGTAATAAAAATGTTTTGAAATTGGTTATGGTAATGGATGTGTAACTCTGTGAATATTCTAGAAACCATTGAGTTATACACGTTAAAAGGGTTCATTTTATGCTGTGTGAATTGTATATCAATGAAGCTGTTAAAATTTTTAATGTTTTAGACCCTCTGAAAGAAAAACAGAACGTGATTTTACTTTACATGGCACTATTTTCAAATGTGAAGTATTCTTAATCTCTAATATATTCATGGTTTTTTTCATGAATACATCAAAACATTTCCTAAATGTATGTATAACCTCTTCGTACACTTTTAAAGTGAGGATAATTGGTACTTTTGGTCTACTTACGAATATGTTAAAAAAACTTTATTGTTATGAAGATGGATTCATTTTCTTAGAGTTATATTCTAATTTCATTTAACACAGTCATATCTACCTTTATGATTCCAGAAGTATTACGGATATATATTTTTTTATGTTGTTTCCTGAGCTTAGGTGTTTATCACAATGGAATATTCTGGGTGGAGGTAGAACAAGAGTCATCCTCAACTGTAGATCACGTATGTTACTTGAAGAGAGCCTAAACCTGGCTGTTGAAATTCCAAGAATTATTCTTTTACTGTAAGTTCTATAAGTGTTTTTGAAACTTGAGCAGAGGTATTATATTGACAAAATAATCAATGTGCAATTATACATTTTTCTTTCTTTCTTTTTTCCTAAACTATCACACATATCAAGTCATTCCAATGACTTGATAGTGTAAGTAAGGCAAAAGCAAATGAAAAAGCAAGTCTCCCAATTAGAAGGAGAACCAAATGCCCTTGACTCAAGGATGAGGCATAAGTGTTCTGTGATGCCACTTTTCCATCACCATGCCAGAATTACAGTAAGGAGGAAGGCATAAGACTTATTCATGCTATCTGATAATGAGAAATTATATCTAATACACTCCGCTTACTCTCCTAGATCCTGATATCAAAAATAAAGATTATGAGAGCCCTGCTCTTAAGGAAATTTCAGTATGTCTTCTTGTACAAGTGACATCTTTTACTGTGATACATAAAGTAGTTTACCAATTTCTGAAGCAGTGACTGTGATGTTGTACCATGGAGTTTCTTCTCTGTCGAGAACCTTTGTAGTCCTAATGGTCCCAGTATTGGCATCAATGTTGAAAAATCTGTCGTCTTCAACATTGTAGTTGATGAAGTATCTAGAGAAAAAAAGAGAAGTTTTTACTTGATGTTATAATGAAGAAAATACAACTGAACCAAGGAAAGTATTATATCTAAATACATTAAAATATTCAAATATACTTTTAAATTCTATATTTGATTACATGGCAACTTTATATTTTTATAGAACTTATATCAATTATTCTTATCCATCAGTCTTTAATTCTAAGTTCAATTACTAATTCAAAGAATAATTTTATAAGGTCTTACCAAATTCCATGAATAAAAGTAGATAGCAGAAACAGCGATTAATAGTGGAGAGACCAAAAGAACTCACCTCTTGGAAGCCTATAATATGTTTAATGAAAAAAAATATTAAACCTATAATAAGACTTCTTGTTGTTATTATTCAAAAAAAATTAGAATCCTTGAAGTCAGAGATGAATTTATCTTGAAATTTCATTGTAGCTAAGGTTTAAAAATAATATAAAATGAAAAACAAAACATTTATATTTATTAACATTGTACCTCCATCACAGTTCAACTAAACCCTTGTTTAGTCAAAGAATGAGATAAAAAAATAAATAAAGATAGGTTGAATTATAGGCCACAAATTATTTTTCCCTCTTCAATTCATGTAATTTTGTAGAGTTCTCTTATATTGCGTTAGATTTCAGCTTACTTTTGTAATCAAATGAGCTGAAAGTGATGGTGTCTGTCTTCTTTCTGGGCCTAGGTTTCATGAGACTTTGTATGTTTCCTTGTGTCCTATGCCACTGCCACAGGAAAAGCATGATTGGGCTAATTAACTTGTCCTAGCAGGAGGAAGGGAAACACACGGGGCAAAGTTGTCCCAATTAAGGTTCCCAACCTAGCGTAGATCAATCTAGTAAATGTGCAGATGCACGATGGAGTGCCCCAGAGATAAACAGAGCTGGCATCAAAAGCTAGCCTAATTCAGCTAGCCCTCAGCTAACCCACCGACACATGCAGTGTAGTTAGACACAGCTTTTTTTTAAGACCCCTGAGTTTTGGAGTTATGTGTTATTTAGCAACAGCTGATTAACATGTCTCTGAATATATACTATTAAACAATTATCATATGTTCTAGAAAAGCTTCAGACTATTTCTTCAACTATTTAAGGAGATAAATATTCTCTCCTAAAGCCTCTAATGCTTTTTTCTCTTTTTAAATCTCAGCTTAAGTAATATTTTATCTAGACCTGAAAGATGAAATGGACTGATTAATTATGTGAAAAGTGCTAGGGAAGAATATATGAAACAGAGAAAACCAAGATGCAAAGATCGAAATTAAAGAAACAGTTTCAATTGGTTAGAAAACAAATCTATGTCAATGTGGCTATGGAGACTGAATGACATGAATCTCCAAGAGTTAGGACAAGGTAGGACAAGGTATCTTTTGTGAAAGCAATGGCAAGAATTTCAAATTCAAGAAAATAAAAACAGATTTATTAATGCTCTGAAAAATAACAGTGGCTACTTTTTATCATATACTGTAGAAAGTTGAAAACAATTTATAAAAAAAATTATTTGTCAACTTGGACAAAGATGGAAAGATAGAAGATGATGGAAAAAAGTGTACAACATACTGTTATATATGAAATGAAATTCATAGACTTCTTGTTGCAGTGGCATTAGTAAAGCAATTAAATCACAGGTGACTCCATTTCCACACGTGTTTGACCTACTATTTAATTGATAGGCCCCTTTACTGAGGTGGATAAAAAGAGCTGGGGAAAGGTAGTTTGGGAAAAATTAATGATTATGCCTTAAATGCCCATTAGATACCCATGTGGAATAAAAAGCAAAAGTCAAATATGGGTATGGAATTCAATTGTCCTTTCTAAATAGGAAATATAACTTTGAGATGATATATCAGCATAAAGCTAAGGTAATGGGAATGGTATAATCTCATCTGGAACAGAATTATAAGAGAAAAGAAATAAAAGATTGAGCACTGAAGTACACAACCTATTGAGTATAGAGCAGGTCAGTATCTGTTCGGAGATGGTGACAGCCAAAGGAGAGAGGGAAAACTGGGAAGGGGAGTGGCATGCAGCCAAGAAATGGCTTACCAGGAAGGAAGGAGCTAACAACTGGGGTGAATTCTGTTAGGAGGTTGATTGAGGTTAGTGAGGGTTAATTGGATTTGGCAAGATGGACAGTATTATTAATAGTTAACTTGTCAAGAATAACATCAGAAAATATATCAAAGGACTGGAGATTTATTACAGTGGCTTCAACAGTATATTGAATGTGAAGATACAAAGACCATGAGTTAAGACAATTGATTGATATCTTTTAATGAATGAACAGCAGAAACAAAAGCATTTTGTGTCATCAGAAAAGTGGGTTCAACAAATTATTTTCTTTTATATGGGAAATAAGAAGCATTGTCTTTGCTGAAAGAAATGATGCTTTTGAAAAAGGGGACTATCAAAAATTGTAAAACTCATGAGAAGGTGAAAATAATTGGATTCCGGGGAACAGATATAGAAATTTCCCATTGAAAGTAACAGGGATGCTTCTTCCATTTTAGTATGAGGAAAAGATGAAAAGCTGGGTAGAAATATAGGGTAGGTGTGGTGATGTAAATATTACAAAATTCATCATACTTTCTAGAACAGAGTGTAAGTGGAATTGCAATACAACCAACCCCATGCCTCTCATAGGCATAAGGTGTTAGAAGGGTATGCAGAGCATATTGCTAAGGTGTGAAATCTTCTAACCTCCTGTGGAGAGGCATGAACACACATGGCAGAAGATATTAATAGCAGCATGGAGAATGAAACTACAGAGCAAGGAGCATGCCAAGAAATCTAACTTATCAGTAAAAAACACATAAAAAGAGACAGATTGTATCACTTGGAACGGTGTGATCAAAACAAGGAACTGACCATTGTACATTAAATTTTCTAATAATAAGTATATGTTAATTGAAAAAAGTTTAACATAAAAAAGAAATTTAAACAAGAAAAGGTACAACTCTAAAGTAAATCTTATTCTGAGACACAAAAACCAGATGCTACAGAATAGTGGGAAATCTGTATGTCACTGGGGTTCCCAAAGCATAAAGCCATGCTACAGTAAAACCATTGTACTTAATTCAGATTGAGTCTATACTAGAAAAAAAACAAAACCCTTCTTATAACATCCCTTTCCCAGAGGAAAAATGCTGAGGATGAGGGTTGAACTGGTTAGGAAATGACAGATGTCTTATCATGTGGAAAGGACAGCATCCTTTAACATGTAGTCAGTAGGCTTTCTGGCTATTTTATTATCTAATGTTAACCTGTCTTTAAGAAATTGTCCATTTTTGGTTACTGTAAGAAAATCAGCTTCTGTATCTGAAATTTGGAGGATTCAAATTTGGAACTTATTATTCAGCTTCAAAGTTGCCTGCAGCAACTATCAGAAAAGCTCAGATTGTAGTGCTATAGATCCCTATGAAATATGGCAGAGCATGTCTCATTTTAGAAGTTAGATCACCTTACAACTGTCAGTCTGGAAGAAAATAGGTTTTGTTTTGTTTTGTTTTCTGAAAATATGTAGTCTTTTTGCCAGAGCAATCTCCTCTTTTTTAGCCACTTCACACTGGGCTTTCTAACATAAGTGCTAATATCAGTGGCTTAATATTTTTAGAGTTAAACATTTTAATTTATATAGTTTTAAATTATGTTTATATATTAGAAAAATGGTAAGCATACTGCTAGGCATGCATCTTTAGACTCATGTTATTTGCTTCCGAGTTTCCTAAGCTATCTAGCTCTCTAGGGAAATCAACATCCTAAGGGTTAGATTGTGGGCGATGCTTGGATCCAAAGAGTCTTATTCACGAAGTTGCAATTGAATTTTGACTCAAGTAGAACTAAATAGTTCTGCCTAACCACTTTTGGCTTTCTGCCCAGACATGGAAATAAAAACTCAGAAGTAAGTAAAGTGGAAATGTGAGAAAAGAGAAACTATTCAAGACTATTTTGAAGATTAAATGTAGAATCATTCAATGCTAATTATTTAGAATTAAGAAGTGACATGGGACCATAAAACTATTAATCAAACCATTAAAAAGAGATGAGGCTATTCTCAGTAAATTACTTTTCAAATAATTTTTATAATAAAATCTGTTTCATAAGCCCTAAGTAAAAAAATCAATACTTTATGAATGTATATATCAATATTTAGATTTTTTTACAAATAATTAATTTGACATTATCAGAAATATTTAGAAAATACAAAATCAAGTAACGATTTGCCTAGGTGACATAGGTCCTAAAAGAGGACTAATCATAAAACCCGTGGAATTGGGATTTTAAATTAAAAAAAAAAAAATTCTAGGTTACAGCTACCAAAAATGAACCAGAATAAATTGAGGCTAGAAGATTTATAGCCAGATAAGACATTTTAAACAATTTCTTCAAATTCTAAGTTGGCCATTAATATAAACCTTTGAGTATTGCCATATGTGTGAGGCAGAGAGGAAATACTTAAATGCGTATATGAGTTATTTAACAAAGCTATCTAGTAAGAGGTAAGAAAATCTAACATTTATGGAGCACTTGCAGTATACTAGATGGGGTTCTAAGTGCTTTATAAATATTAGTTCATTAAACACTCATAACAGCTGCATGAGGTAAGTACTATTACTAGCTCCCTTTTGCAAATGAAGAAACGAAGGGACAGAGTAATAGAGAATTTGTCCAACATTAAGGAGACAGTGCAACAGATTAAAATACAATCTAGGTCTACTGAGTAATATTTATCAGCTTTTTTTTTTTTTTTTTTATGAAGTGTCGCTCTTGTTGCCCAGGCTGGAGTGCAATGGCACAATCTCAGCTGACTGCAACCTCTGCCTCCCGGGTTCAAACAATTCTCTTGCCTCAGCCTCCCGAGTAGCTGGATTACAGGCGTTTGCCATCATGCCTGGCTAATTTTTGTAGTTTTGGTAGAGACGGGGTTTCACCATGTTGGCCAGGCTGGTCTCTAACTCCTGCCCTCAGGTGATCCGCCTGCCTCGGCCTCCCAAAGTGCTGGGATAGGCCTGAACTACTGTGCCTGGCCAGCTTCTTTGTTTTTAAAAGGAGAAAATTTTAAAGGGGGGATAATACTGTTTGAATGTTTTTCCTTTCTGAATCTCATATTAAAAGCTAATTCCCAATATTGGAGGTGAGGCCAGGTGGGAGGTGACTGGATTATGGGGGTGGATCCCTCATGAATGGTTTGGCCCCATCCACTTGGTGTTAAGTGAATTCTCACTCTCAGTAGTTCATGCAAAATCTAATTGCTTAAAAGCCTGGGACTTCTTCTCACTCCTGTTCCCACTCTCACCATGTGACATGCTGGCTCCCCTTCACCTTCTGCCATGACTGTAAGTTCTCTGAGGCCAGAAGCAGATGCTGGCACCATGCTTCCTGCACACTCTGCAGAATCATGAGCCAATTAACCTCTTTTCTTTATAAATGACCCAGCTTCAGGTATTTTTATAGCAACACAAGCACAAACTAATACAATCTTTATCCATTCATTCAAAAATACTCTCATTTGAAAGAATACAGAAAAAGAATGAAAGATATATATTAAAAAAGAGAGAATATGTCAAATAGTTTACTTCGGGAAAAGAAGAAAATAAAGAAAGAAGGAAGGAAGAAAAATGGAGGGAGGGAGAGAGGGAAGGAAGGGAGGGAGGGAGGGAAAGAAGAAAAGCGAAAGAAAGAAGAAAGAAAGAAAGGAAGAAAGGAAGGAAGAAAGAGAAAGAGAGAAAAGAAAAAGAAAGAAAGAAAAAGAAAGAAAGAAAGGAAGAAAGAAAGGAAGAAAGAAAAAGAAAGAAAAAGAAAGGGAGGGAGGGAGGGACAGGTAACTGATTATAATGATGGATGCCAGAGAGTTTAATGAAGAGATCAGAGTATAAAATTCCAAGGCATAAAAGCTTCATGAAGGACATGGTATTTGATCAGTCCTGAAAGAGGAAAAACAGTTAAATAGAGATATGTGCACCAGAGATCATCCAGAGAGTATGGAATTTGATGATTTCATATGACATATTAGAGAAAAACAGAGAGAAAGAAAGATCTTAAATCTGGTTTGGAATTCCTTCAGAGGTGACATAGCATTTTGGAGACTAGTGCTTTCTGGTATTGGCTGCTAGACTAGAAAAAGAGAGAAAAAAAAAGAAAGAAAAAAGCTTCATGTAGTAGGTAGGAAAGAAACCACACATCAGCATTCCAGTAAACATGGCTGCCCTTATTCACCATGTTAGACTTTAGTAGTAAACTCTTTTTATTATTATTATTATTATACTTTAAGTTTTAGTGTACATGTGCACAATGTGCAGGTTTGTTACATACGTATACATGTGCCATGTCGGTGTGCTGCACCCATTAACTCGTCATTTAGCATTAGGTATATCTCCCAATGCTATCCCTCCCCACTCCCCCCACCCCACAACAGTCCCCGGTATGTGATGTTCCCCTTCCTGTGTCCATGTGTTCTCATTGTTCAATTCCAACCTATGAGTAAGAACATGCGGTGTTTGGTTTTTTGTCCTTGCGATAGTTTGCTGAGAATGATGGTTTCCAGCTTCATCCATGTCCCTACAAAGGACATGAATTCATCATTTTTTATGGCTGCATAGTATTCCATGGAGTATATGTGCCACATTTTCTTAATCCAGTCTATCATTCTTGGACATTTGGGTTGGTTCCAAGTCTTTGCTGTTGTGAATAGTGCCACAATAAACATATGTGTGCATGTGTCTTTATAGCAGCATGATTTATAATCCTTTGGGTATATACCCAGTAATGGGATGGCTGGGTCAAATGGTATTTCTAGTTCTAGATCCCTGAGGAATCGCCACACTGACTTCCACAATGGTTGAACTAGTTTACATTCCCACCAACAGTGTAAAAGTGTTCCTGTTTCTCCACATGCTCTCCAGCACCTGTTGTTTCCTGACTTTTTAATGATTGCCATTCTAACTGGTGTGAGATGAGGATTGACTAAACTGTAAGACCTAGTATAGCAAATGAAAGAATATAATTATTACCTTTCTAGATGAAAGGAGTACAGATACTTTGTAGAGAAAGATAATCTCTGTAAAATTTTGAAGATGAGAATGCATAGATTGGGAAAAATGTCAAGGATGTTTGGATTGTAAGAGCACAGACTTTTAAAGATAAATGAAGAAGCAAGAAGAATTAGGGTGAGGGATGGGCCACTTACCAAGGACAAATTTCCCAGTTTTCAGATATCAGAGGTAGTAACCTCTTTGAAGACACTGAAAAACACCTACATTCTTTCTCTCTGTGTACAATAAGTCACAGATTCTTAGCCTTGTTTATTTAGAATGTAAAGATCAATTCCAGGAAAATTATTTCTAAAATAGACACAGCATATATGTGAATATTATATCAAGCCATAGTAAGATAATCACTCCAGGTTTGAAACCAAGCAAACCTGTTAATCACAGCTGTATCACTTAGCATTGTGACCTTAAGAGATTTAGTCTCTCTGAGCTGTCTCCATGAGTGAAATGGAGAACCATTTACATAATAATTTTCTTGTGATGATTAAGTGAAGTGATATGTGAAAATCACTTATGCTTGAGGGTTAAATGATAGGCCTTCATAGAAAACAGCTATCACTTGTTTTAAGGCTTCTCAGGAAGACGTTTTTCTCCCTTTCTTTCTTGGGAAGCTTCAGTCTATTTTGATAAGACAGTTCATAGATTGTAAGTACTGGTTGTTTCTTTCTCCTACGACTGCACTATAAACAGAGTGGGTTATGAATAGGGTTACTACTGAATAAACAAGAGTCTCTATATAAATAGCCAGAACTTCAGCCTGTTTCTGAAAATTTTGTCAGAAAATTAATTTTTAATTTACTGCTTAATTCACATAGAGCAATTTTTATTTGGAAGGTGTATGAGACTAAAGCTCTTTAACTTCTACCAATAATAACACAGATGTATTGCTTGGCCTCACAAGTGAATGAATAAGCCAACCAATCAATCAACAGTTATAATGGAGACTGATAATATTTCATGCAACTGATAGTAGTCTTTCACTTCTTTTGTAAATATGTTGGTAGCACTAATCATGCCAAGAAATCGTGTCTTACCTATCCAGGCCAGTATGTTTTCATATCTAGATAAGATATTTATAGATTCTTAATGTCATCCTTCATATGGATTTCTAATACTATGCTTAAAATTGGTTAGATTTATTCGGGAAATAATTGTTTTCTCTTTATGGTGTGTAGTTGGCTTATTCCCTCTTTCATTGAGTAATATTTAAACATTGCACAAAGAACAAATAAATTTGCGCCTCACCCAAAATTCATAGAATCATAGTTCTGGAAATAATTTTAAGATGTAATACAATTATTGACTGTGAAAGCTCATCTTTTAGACTTCAGTTTAAATCTAAGAAAAAAAGCAAAGCAACTACTTTGTGGTGTATCTTGTTAATATCCTGTACTAATCTACAAGCATATGTGGTCAAAAGTGTTAATATGAGGGAGAAAACGTTGAAATAGACTCAACGGCTACTCTTATAATTGTGACATATAATTCAAACCCTATCACCACTACATGTTCACTATATTATGTGTGAAATAAGCATCAAAATGGTATCTTCACTAAACACTACTGTGAAAGTTGTATGATCAATGATCAATAAGATGTCTCCTAGTTATAGATTAGAGAAAGTACAATTAAGTTACTGACAGCTCAAATTTGCTCAGTGGTCTTTATTAGCCCTCTAACTGGACAAGTCCCATAGGCAAACCTTAACTAATTTCACACTGACAGATAAATGGATCCATTCATGCCTCACCCAGTACAGGAGATCTTGCCAAGTTCCCAATATAACTTATAAATACTGGCTATAATTTTTTATTTCTACACCACTCTTTGTTCTATCATTCAACTTCTGTACCATTTCATATCTCTAGTAAATGTTTTAAAGCAATGATGAAAGTAAAAAGAAAATGCATTATATTGAAGTGAGATGAAAATTTATTATTGAAATTAGTACTTCAGGGACCAAAAAACAGACAGAAAATTTATGACCATAGTAAAAATTCAATCTCAATAATGATTACCTTTACTCAAATATTTTCTTCCACAGAAACTACTTTAAACAAACCATGCAGGTCATCATTTGGAACTCAGCTTCCCTTTGATTAGGTATACATTCGTGATAATCAATACTCATATTAAAGTGTATTAGAAATGTTATTTTTCATTTCAATAACAGCTCTTCAGTCCTCAGTGGCACTTATTTTCATTATATTCTGTCCATTTCACCACAAGAAATTAATTTAAAACTTATGTAACAGAAATCCATTTTTACAGTGACCTACTTAGAGAAATATCATCTGACCTGCACGTTGTGAACATGTACCCTAAAACTTAAAGTATAATAATAATAAAATTAAAAAAATAAATAAATAAATAAAGTATAGAAGACCTCTTTCAGTTGTCACTTTGTAAATATTTGCAGGTACAAGACATGAATGGTAAAGCAAATGTATTTAAGATTTTGTCACCCAAGCAGTTGTTTTGTAAGTTTTGTTGAGAATAATCAATAGTTGGGATAAAGTTTAATCAATACATACCCTGTGAGATATTACCACAACTTGGTCTCATACTTTTTTTTTTTTTTTTTTTTTTTGAGACACAGGGTATTGCTCTGTCACCCAGTCTGGACTGCAGCAGCAGGAACACGACTCATTGCAGCCTTTGCCTCCTGGGCTCAAGTGATCCTCCCAACTCAGCCTCTGAAGAAGCTGGGACCATAGGTGTATGCCACCCTAATTTTTGTATTTGCTTGTAGAGACAGTGTTTTGTCATGTTGCCCAGGCTGGTATTGAACTCCTGAGCTCAAATGATCCTCTCGCCTCGACCTTCCAAAGTGCTAAAATTACAGGTGTGAGCCAAAACGCCTGACCCTGGACTCACCTTTAGCTTAACAAAAAGTCACGCACCTGAAGTATAGCTTAGATTCACTTTACGAATTATGATTCCCTTTGTTAACATTGGGAATGCAATTTAATACACAAGCCATGCATTGAGAAAATAATCTTTCTAAAAAAAAGAAGGTATAATTTCTCACATAAAGTGAGTATTGTGCTTATGTGCTTAATAGGATGGACAGCACACATGGCACATAGATATTTGCGGATACTTTTTAACCTCCTGAATCAAAACTTCCATCCAATGAAGCAAAATTAAGCTAAACCTCTGCACATGCAATTATAATGTTTCTTCCTGGTATTTATGACTCTAAGTAAGTGAGATATCAGAAATTGCATTAATCTTGAGTTCTAGAAATGCTACAAAACCTTATTAGAATTTTTTTATTCAGAACCAGCCTGACCAACATGGCCAAACTCTGTCTCTACTAAAAATCCAAAAATTAGCCAAGCATGGTGGCACATGCCTGTAGTCCCAGATACTTGGAAGACTGAGGCAGGAGAATCCCTTGAACTCTGGAGGAGGTGGTTGCAGTGAGCCAAGATCACACCACTGCAGTCCAGGCTGGGCAAGAAGAGCATAACTTCATCTCAAAAAAAAAAACAATTTTTTTTTTTGTAAAATTCGCATGAAATACATAAGCTATTTGGATGTTATTCCCCTGTTAGTAGATCTATAGAGTATCACTAAGCTAGGGCTAAGGTACTTATTCTAATTATGCACACCTTCCCAGAACACAGGTTCCCTTCCTGGGGCTAAGCCTGGTTTGGTCACAAGATGGTGACATTAGGCTGTTAGATAAACTTTAACCAGAAATGGAAGATTTTTAGAGGTCTTCTATATCTTTAATGAAACATGAAAAAGTGACCACATTCTTGTCCAGTGTCAATTATTAATTAATAATTTAATTATTTTAGACTTCAGGTTGAATCTAAGGGGGAAAAAAAGCAACTTTGTGGTATGTCAAGTTAACACTTTGGAACAATCAACAAGCACATGTGTCCAAAGAGTTACTATAATGGAGGAAATGTTCAAATAGATCCAAAATCTACTCTAATATAACTGTGACACAACATTATAACACCCTTATTGTATATTCACTTTATCCTGTGTGAAATAAGCATCAAAATTGTACTTATACCAAATGGTACTTCAGACGTTGTATGACTAGAGCCAGGGAAAATGGCGGAGAGGAGGCAGGACTAACTTGCAGCTCCCACATGGACCAACAGAGCAGCATGTGGAGACCCACACTGTGAACTTTTGCTCCAAGAACTACCACAGGAACATACCAGGAAAGCCAAGAGAATCCACAGACCCTTTGAAAGAGGTGGACTGCAGCTGCAGGCTCCATGGGATAGCTGAGGAATTGTGAGTTGGCTTGCTTTCTCAGCTGGGAGGCTTGTAGTCTGGGGCAAGTTCTTAGCTGTTACCAGCTTCCTGGAAATAAACTTGGTGATGTTGGGTGGGACATGAGGGGAGTGAGACCAGCTGTTTGGGCTGTGGGCTGCATGGGAACAAGGTAAGGCCTGGGGCTGCCGGCTCTTCCCCCACTTCCCTGGTGAGCTATGTGATGCAGCAGAGAAAGCCATAATCCCCCTGGGAATATAACTCCATTGGCCTGGGAACCACATCCCCATCCTCCACAGCAGCCACAGCAAGACCTGCCAAAGTCTGAGCTCAGAAAAGCCTAACAGTGCCCCCATCTGATGGTCTTTCTGTACCTACCCTGGTAGCCCAGGACAAAGTACATAATCTCTTGGGAGCCGTATGGCTCTGTTGACTGCCTGATCCTCCCTATACAATCGCAACTGATGTGCTCTTGAAAGCACCACCTCCTGGCTGGAGGCCAACCAACACAAAACCAGCACACTTAACAAAAATGCAACCAAGGACCCTCACAGAGTCTACTTCACTCCCCTGCTACCTATAATGGAGTAGGTGCTGGTATCCACAGCTGAGAGACCTGAAGATGGGTTACATGACAGGACTTTTTGAAGACACTCCCCAGTATCAGCCCAGAGCCTGGTAGCTCCACTGGGTGGCTAGAGCTAGAGGAGAAATAACAATAATTGAAGTTTGACTCTCAGGCAGCCCCATCCCTAGAGGAAAGGGAAGAACACCACATCAAGGAAACATCCTGTGGGAGAAAAGAATCTGAACAACAGCCTGAGTCACACATCTTCCCTCTGACATAGTCTACCCAAATGAGAAGAGACCAGAAAAATAATTCTGATAACATGGCAAAATAAGGTTCTTTAACATCCCAAAAAGATCACACTAGATTATCAGCAATGGATCCAAACCAAGACTAAATCTCTGAATTGCCAGAAAAAGATTTCAGAAGATTGATTATTAAGGCAATCAAGGAAGCACTAGAGAAAGGTGAAGTTCAACTTAAAGAAATCCAAAATAATGATACAGGATATGAATGGAAAAATCTCCAGTGAATAGACGGCATAAATAAAAAACAATCACAACTTCTGGAAATCAATGACATACTTAGGGAAATGCAAAATGCACTGGAAAGTCTCAGCAATGGAATTGAACAAATAGAAGAAAAAACTTTAGAACTTGAAGACAAGGCTTTCAAATTAATCCAATCCAACTAAGAAAAAGAAAAAAAAAATTTAAAAAACGAGCAAAGCCTCCAAGAAGTTTGGAATTATATTAAATGAACAAACATAAAAACAATTGGTGCTCCCAAGGAAGAAGAGAAATATAGGAGTTTGGAAAACACATTTGAGGGAATAATTGCAGAAAACTTCCCCAGCTTTCTTAGAGATCTAGACATTCAAATACAAGAAGCTCAAAGAACACCTGGGAAATTAATCACAAAAAGATAATCTCCTAGGCACATAGTCATCAGGTTATCTAATGTCAAGATGAAGGAAAGGATCTTAAGAAATGTGTGGAAAAACAAACAAACAAAAACACCAGGTAATCTATAAAGGAAAACGTATCAGATTAACAGATTTCTCAGGAGAAATCCTACAAGCTAGAAGAAATTGAGGTCCTATCATTAACCTGCTTGAACAAAACACTTCTCAGTCAAGAATTTTTTATCCAGCAAAACTAAGTTTCATAAATGAAGGGAAAATACAGTCTTTTTCAGACAAACAAATGCTGAGAGAATTTACCACTACCAAGCCAGCACTACAAGAACTGCTAAAAGGAGATCTAAATATTGAAACAAATTCTCAAAATACAACAAAATAGAATCTCCTTAAAGCATAAATTTCAAATGACCTATAAAACAACAACACAATGAAATAAACCAAGGTATTCAGGCAAAAGATAGTATAATGAATATAATAGTACCTTACATCTCAATACTAACATTGAATGTAAATGGCCGAAATGCTGCACTTAAAAGATACAGAATGGCAGAGTGCATAAAAACTCACCAACCAAGTATCTGCTGTCTTCAAGAGACTCACCTGACACAGGACTAATATACTTAAAATAAAGGGGTGGAAACAGATATTTCATGAAAATGGACACCAAAGGCAAGCAGGAGTAGCTATTCTTATATCAGAGAAGATGAACTTTAAAGCAACAGCAGTTAAAAAAGACAGAGGGACTTTATGTAATGATAAAAGAACTAGTCCAACAGAAAAAAAAATTCACAATTCTACATATACATGCACCTAACACTGCAGATCCCAAATTTGTTAAATATAAAACAGTTACTACTAAACCAAAGAAATGAGATAGACAGCAACACAGCAATAGTGGAGGACTTCAATATTCCACTGACAGCACTAGACAGGTCATGAAGACAGAAAGTCAACAAAGAAACAATAGACTTAAATTATATCCTAGAACAAATGGACTTAACAGATCTTTAAAGAACATTCTACCCATCAACTGCAGAATATTCATTCTATTCATCAGCACATGGAACATTCTCCAAGAGAGACAATATGATAGGCCACAGTACAATTCTCAACAAATTTAAGAAAATCAAAATTATATCAAGTACTCTCTCAAACCATATTGGAATAAAATTGAAAATCAACTCTAAAATGAACCCTCAAAACCATGCAAATACATGGAAATTAAACAACCTGCTTCTGAATGATCATTGAGACAACAATGAAATGAAAATGGAAATTAAAAAATTTTTTGAACTGAATGACAATAGTGACATGACCTATCAAAACCTCTGGGATACAGCAAAAGTGGTGCCAAGTGGAAAGTTCACAGCATTAAATGCCTACATCAAAAAGTCTGAAAGGGTACAAATAGACAATCTAAGGTAACATGTCAAGGAAGTAGAGAAACAAGAACAAACCACACCCAAACACAGGAGAAGAAAATAAATAACGAAATCAGAGCAGAACTAAGTGAAATTGAAACAAAAAACATACAATACAATAGATAAATGAAACAAAAAGTTAATTCTTTAAAAAGATAAATAAAAATGATAGATCATTAGTGAGATTAACTAAAAAGAGAAGCAAGATCCAAAAAAGCTCAATTAGAAATAAAACAGGAGATAGTAGAACTGATACCACAGACATACAAAAGAGCATTCTAGGCTATTATGAACAACTTTATGCACATAAAATAGAAAACCAAGAGTAGATGGATAAATTCCTGGAAATATACAACCCTCCTAGATTAAACAAGGAAAAAAATATAAACTCTGAACAGACAAATAACAAGCAGTGAGATTGACAGGGTAATTAAAAAGTTACCAACAACAAAAAAAAGTCCAGGACCAGACAGATTCATGGCTGAATTATATTAGACATTCAAGCAAAAATTGGTACCAATCCTATTGACACTATTCCACAAGACAGAGAAGGAGAAAATCTTCCCTAAGTGATTCCATGAAGCCAGTATCATTCTAATACTAAAACCAAAAGGGGACATAACAAAAAAAGAATACTACAGACCAATACACAGACCCGGATGAACATATATGCATCAGACCCTTATGAACACGATCTAGGACAGTTGTATATTTCCAGGAATGTATCCATCTCCTCTTGGTTTTCTAGTTTACTATGAACAAAGTTGTTCACAGTAGCCTAGAGTTCTCTTTTGTATGTCTGTGGTATCAGTTGTAATATCTCCTGTTGCATTTCTAATTGAGCTTGTTTGGATCTTCTTGCTTCTCTTCTTGGTTAATCTCACTAATGTTCTATCATTTTTATTTATCTTTTTAAAGAACTAGCTTTTTGTTTCATTTATCTATTGTACTGTGTGTTTTTTGTTTCAATTTAATTTAGTTCTGCTCAGATCTTTGTTATTTCTTTTCTTCAGCTGTGTTACAGACCCTGATGAACATATATGAAAAAATCTTCAACAAAATACTGTCTAACAGAATTTGACAGCATATCAAAAAGATAATCCACCATGATCGAGTAGGTTTCATAGCAGGGATGCAGGTATGGTTTAATATCCACGAGTCAATAAATGTGGTACACCACATAAACAGAATTAAAAATAAAAATCACATGATTATCTCAATAGATGCAGTAAAAGCTTTTGAACAAAATCCAGCATCCTTTTATGGTTAAAACACTCATCAAAAACACCAAAGAAGGGGCATACCTTAAGGTAATAAAAGCCATCTATGACAAACCCACAGCCAACAGGGTAAAGTTAAAAGCATTCCCCCTGAGAATTGGAACAAGTCAAGGATGTTTACTCTTAACACTTCTCTTCAAGTAGCAGAAGTCCTAGCCAGAGCAGTCAAACGAGAGAAAGAAATAAAGGACATCCAATTGATAATGATGAAGTCAGATTGTTGCTGTTTGGTGATGACATGATCCTATACCTAGAAAATCCTAAAGACTCATGCAAAAAGCTCCTAGAACTGGTAAATGAATTAAGAAAAGTTTCAGGATACAAAAATAATGTGCACAAATCAGTAGCTCTGCTATACACTAATAGTGACCAAGCTGAAAATCAAATCAGGAACTCAACCCCTTTATAATAGTTGCAAAAACAAACAAAAAAAAAACTCAGGAATATATTTAACCAAGAAGAAGAAAAACCTCTACAAGGAAAACTACAAAACACTGCTGAAATACATCATAGACAACATAAACAAATGGAAACATATCCCATGCTCATAGATGGAGTCAATCAATATTGTAAAAATGGCCATACTGCCAAAAGCAATCTACAAATTCAATGCAGTTCTTAACAAAATACCACCATCATTCTTCACAAAACTAGAAAAAAAATCCTAAAATTCATATGGAACCAAAAGAGAGCCTGCATAGCCAAAGCAAGACTAAGCAAAAAGAACAAATTCTGGAGGCATCACATTACCTGACTTCAAATTATATTATAAGGCCATAGTCACCAAAACAGCATGGTACTGGTATAAAAAATAGGCACATAGACCAAAGGAACAAAATAGATAACCCAGAAATAAAGCCAAATACAGCCAACTGATCTTTGACAAAGCAAACAGAAATGTAAAGTGGGAAAAAGATACCCAGTTCAACAAATTGTACTGGGATAACTGGCAAGCCACAGGTAGAAGAATGAAACTGGATCCTCATTTCTCACCCTTATACAAAACTCACCTCAAGATGGATCAAAGACTTAAATCTAAAACCTGAAACCATAAAATTTCTAGAAGATAACATTGGAAAAGTCCTTCTAGAAAATGGCTTAGACAAAGACTTCATGACCAAGAATCAAAAAGCAAACACAACAAAAACAAAGATAAATAGATGGAACTTAATTAAAGTAAAAAGGTTCTGCACAGTAAAAGAAATAATCAGTAGAGTAAACAGACAACCCACTGAGTGGGGGAAAATCTTCACAATCTATACATCTGATAAAGGACTAATATCCAGAATCTACAAGGAACTTAAACAAATCAGCAAGAAAAAAAAATCCCATCAAAAAGTGGGCTAAGGACAGTAATAGATAATTCTCAAAAGAAGATATTCCAAATGGCCAATAAACAGATGAAAAAAATTCAACATCACGAATTATCAGGGAACTGCAAATCAAAATCACAATGTGATACCACCTCACTTCTACAAGAATGGCCATAATCAAAAAATCAATAAATAATAGATGTTGGCATGGATGTGGTGAAAAGGGAGCACTTTTACATTGTTGGTGGGAGTGCAAACTAGTACAACCACTACGGAAAACAGTGTGGAGATTCCTTACAGAACTAAAAGTACATCTATCATTTGAAACAGCAATCCCACTCCTGGGTATCTACCCATAGGAAAAGAAGGCATTATACAAAAAAGATACCTGCGAAGGTATGTTTATAGCAGCACAATTCATAATTGCAAAAATAGGGAACCAGCCCAAATGCCCATCCGTCAATGTAGGGATAAAGAAAATGTGGTATACATAAACCATGGAATACTAGTCAGCCACAAAAATGAATGAAATAATGGCATTTGCAACAGCATGGATGGAATTGGAAACCATTATTCTAAGTTCAATAACTCGGGAATGGAAAACCAAACATTGTATTTTCTCACTCATAAGTGGGAGCTAAGCTATGAGGATGCAAAGGCACAAGAATGATACAATGGACTTTGGGGACTTGGGGGAAAGGGTGTGAGGGTGAGGAATAAACACTACACATTGGGTTCAGTGTATACTGATCAGGTGATGGGTGCACCAAAATATTAAAAATCACCACTAAATAACATATTCATGTAACCAAACATCACTTGTTCCCCAAAAACCTATTGAATTTTTTTTAAATAGGCCAAAACAGAAAACAAGTAGTTGTATGACTAAATGTGTTATAATTATGTTTGGCCTAGGGGAAAAAATCATTTTATATCAGATAATATCTTTAGCTATGTGCTTTTGGACCATTCAGCCTTCAAAGTCTAAAGATATGTTCATCTATGAAAGAATAGAGTTGTCTTAGTCATCTTTATGTCCCCCTGAGTTCTCAAGTATCATGTGTTTATGACATTGAACAATAAACCATTAATCAATCTCAGTGTTCTAATATCAGCAATATATAATGTGATACAATTTCAAAATACAGGTTGTAGACAAAGACTTTTGATTTTAAGCAAGAATTTGCTTTCTGTCTGTCTCTACTGGATTTGCATTAAATGTCCATAATGGACTGTTTCCTTTGGATCAGAACACAATGGCTGAGTGTTTTTGATGATACACTGAGGATTGCCATGAAGAGAACACTGAAATAATTTTATGTTATCAATAAGGAAAACTTTTACAACTAAATTTGGTCTATGAAAAAGGTTCTTGTATATTAGATACCTTTAACATGAACACAGTTTAAAACATATTTACTGGTTATTTTTCATCTTTGTTTTCAAAAGTTTAAATCCTGCATTCAAACTCTTAATAATTTCTTTTCACTTTCCCTCTTGAACTTTGCCAAAAGGCCTTATCATTATTTTAAAATCTCTCTCTTTTTTTTGCTGTTATAACATCCAAAATAATTTGGTATTTCTAATCCAACTCATCATCAATTATGTGAAAATTTCAAAAGTAGAGAAGAAAGCAAACAAAAAACAAAAAGAAGTGAATGCTTCCAGTGTATTCACTGTACCATTATTTACCAATAAATTCACCTCACCAAGGTCACAATAAATCTCTGGATAGGCTGAGAAAATACTTTTAATACTTTGCATCCATTTCTTTAAAATTATCCCTTATGTTGCAAAAATATTTTAAAATCTGGCTAAGTTTCCAATATGTTCACAATACATTTGGGCTATAGTTTATTTTATAGGTAGTGCCATCATAAGCATTTGAAACAATTATGCGAAATATTTAATCATTTATTTCCTTAAAGTTATCATTCAAAGAAAACATTCAAATTCTCAACAAGAAGTAAATGCATAGATAAATTCAGGTTATAAATCAAGATGCAAAAGAAGGAAAGATGGGGCATATACTCATTCACATAATTCAGCTGCTAAAGCTTTTCATCATATAAGAAATGTTGATTCAGGGACTCCAACTTTTTTTATACTAAATCAAGTAATGTACATCTTTAACTACAATACGGAGAAACTATAAAATTAAGAGCAAGTTTATTACTAAGATGCTAAAGTTAAAAAAAGACTTGCCAGTTAGCATCCCCTTTTCTAATGTGTGGAGTAAACCCATAAAAGGGAAGGCCCCAGGTAATGGCATTTGCTTAATGGCTCTCTGAGCATTTATAATATACATTTGTTTCTAATTTTTGATACTTGACTTTTGTAAATGTAGTCATTTTGTTTGTTTGTTTTTATTTTTTATTAGTTATAGTATAATAGGGAGCATATTGGGCTACAAAAAGAAAGTTTTCAGAGTAAAGCAAAATTGGATTTGCATTAAAATGTCATGTTATCACTGAAAACAGAATCAAGTTAGTTAATTTTTTGAACTTTAGTTTCTTCATCTATAGAATGGAATCAATAATACAGACAGTTTCAGTGTTGTGAAACAGTTTATGGAATGATATATAAGGTCCATGGCCAACAGACAGAAGACAATGAATGGTAACAATTTAACAGTCATGTGTCATAAAGCTACATTCCCAAAAGCTCTCTAGCTTCTTGTTTTCAACATGGGATTGCTCATCTCTCAGTAGCTAATCTGTGAAATTCCTGAATTCTATTTGTAATTTGTGAGCAAATGGTGTAGCCTGTTTAAATGAAAGGCTTCACTGCTGGTAAACAGCCAGGCTCTAATTTTATTTTTTCAAAAAGGTGATGATTGGAGAAGAAGGTGGAGCAAGATAGCAGTATAGAACCCTACAAAGATTGTCAACCCTGCAGGAACACTGAATTGAAGAACTTTCCATGAAACACCTTCATAAGGACTAAAAATCAGGTGACTGATCACAGTACTTGGTATTAACACTATATTAATGAATGGGGCACTGAAGAGCACAGGAAAGACAGCCTTGAATGGCTTACACAACCCCTCCCTCATACCCTGGTAGTGGCAGCAGAGCACAAAGAGAGAATCTGTGCACTTTGGGGAGGGAGAACACAATGATTATGAGACTTTGCATTGGAAGTCACTACTTCCTTGTTATGGCAGAAAGCAAAAAGTGACAGAACACATCCTGCAACCTATGGAGTAAGCCTTTAGACCAGCACAGGCTAGAGAGAAATAACTCAACCCAGTGGTCAAAACCTGAGTTCTGGCTAGCCCCACCACTGTGGGCTAAAGCACTCCAGGGTCCTTAATGAACTTGAAAGGCAGTCTGGGCCAGAAGGACTGTAATTCCTGAGTAAGCCTTGGTGATGTGCTGGGCTTGGAGCCAGTGGATCTGGAGTGCAGGTGACATAGTGAGAAGCCAGCTGGCGTGGTCAAGGGAGTGCTTCTGCCACTCCTCCCCCAACCGCAGGCAGTGCAGCTTGCAGCTCTGGGAGAGATCCCTTCCTTCCACTTGAGTAGAAGTGAGGAAGGAGTAAAAAGGACTTCATCTTGCAACTTGGATACAAGTTCAGCCACAGTAGAATAGGGCAGCAGACAGAATCCTGAGGCCCTAGCTCTCAGACAACATTTTTAGATACACCTGGGCCAGAAGGGAACCTGCTGCCTTGAAGGGAAGAACCCAGTCCTGGTGGAATTCATGACCTCCTTACTAAAGATCCCTTGGACCTTGAGTAAGCATCAACTGTAGCCAGACATTACTCATCGTGGGCTTTTGATGAGAATGAGACTCAGGTGTAACCCAGGGTATTAACAGATATGGTGGCTATGGGGAGAGACTCTTCCTGCTCAAGGACGGGAAAGGGAAGTATAAAGGGGAGTTTGTCTTGCAGCTTGGATACCAGCTTGACCACAGAGGGGTGGAGCATCAAGCAGGCTCCTGGGGTCCCTGATTCCAGGCGTTGGCTCAGAGGAGAGAAGTTCTAAACCTGCCCTGGGCTAGAGTGGAGCTAACTGCCCTGAAGGAAGAGACTCAGTCCAGGCAGTGTTCAGCACAAGCTGACAGAAGAGCCCATGGGCCTTGAGTGAAGATGGGTGGTATCCAGGCAGTACATACCACATGGGGAGAAACTCCTGCTTGAGAAAAGAAGAGGGAAGAGCGGGAAGAACTTTGTCTTGTGGCTGGGGTGTCAGCTCAGCCACAGTAGAATAGAGCACCAAGTAGATTCCTAAGGTTCTCGAATCCAGGCTGTGGCTCCTGGACAGCATTTCTAGACCTGCCCTGGGCTGTGGAACATGAGAGGCAACATCGAGGGGAAGGACACAATCCTGGCTGGATTCACTCCTTGCTAACTGAAGAGCCCTGGGCCTTAAGGGAATATCAGTAGTAGCCAGGCATTAGTAATCAATGGTCTTGGGTGAGATCCAGTGATATGTTCATTTCAGTTATGACCCAGTGCAGTCTTGGTATTGGTGGCTACAGTGATGCTTATGTCACTCCTCTGCTGAGCTCCAGGCAGATCAACATGGACAGAGAAACTCCATTTGTTTAGGGGAATGTAAGGGAAGAGAACAAGAGTCTTTGCCTAGTAATCCAGGGAATTATCTTAGATTTTACCCAAGACCACTACAGCAGTACCTCCACAAGTCTTCAGAGTCACAGCATTACTGGGCTTGGGGTACCCCCTAATGCAGATATAGCTGCAATGACCAAAGACTTAGATAATAACACCCAATTAATCCCCTTTGAGTACTTGGAAGAGTCCCCAAGAATGACAGGCACAAATAAGCCCAGTCTGCAATAACTACAATAAATGACTCTTCAGTGGTGCTGGGAAAACTGCATATCCATATACACATAATTGAAACCAGACCCCCATCTCTAGCTATATGCAAAAATCAATTCAAAATGTATTAAAACTTAAGTCTATGAACTCACACTGTGAAACTGAAGAGAGTACGTTGGGAAAACTCTGCTGGACATTCATCTGAACAAAGATTTCTTGAGTAATATGCTGCAAGCACAGTCAACCAAATAAAAAATAGATAAATGGGATCACATCGAGTTAAAAAGCTTCTGCACATCAAAGAAAACAATCAACAATGGAAAGCGACAACCCACAAAATGAAAGAAAATATTTTCAGATTATCCATATGACCAGGGATTAATAACCGGAATATAATTGAAGCTCAAACAAATCTATAGAAAAAAAAAATCTAATAATCTGAATAAAAAATGGGCAAAATATCTGAATAGACATTTCTCAAAAGATGACATACAAATAGCAAACAGACATATAAAAAGGTGCTTAACATCACTGATCATCATAGAAATGCCTATCAAAACTACAATGAGAAATCATCTCACCCCAGTTAAAATGGCTTATATCAAAATTACAGGCAATAACAAATGATGGCAAAGGATGTGGAGAAAAGGGAACCCCCATATCCTGTTGGTGGGAACGTAAATTAGTACAACCACTATGGAGAACAGTTTGACAGTTTCTTAAAAGCTAAACATAGAGCTCCCTATGATGCAGCAATCCTGCTGCTATGTTTATATGAAAAAGAAAATGTATTAGTCCGTTTTTATGCTGCTGATAAAGACATACTTGAAACTGGGTAATTTATAAAGAAAAAGAGGTTTAATGGATTCACACGTGGCTGGGGAGGCCTCACAATCATGGTGGAAGGCAAAAGGCACGTCTTGCGTGGGGGCAGACAAGAAAGAATGAGAGCCAAGTGAAAGGTGAAACCCCTTATAAAACCATCATATCTTGTGAGACTTATTCACTACCACGAGAACACTATGGAGGAAACCGCCCCCACGATTCAATTATCTCCCACCAGGTCCCTATCACAACACGTGGGAATTATGGGAGATACAATTCAAGATGAGACTTGGGTGAGGACACAGCCAAACCATATCAGAAAGGAAACCAGTACACTGAAGAGATATCTGCACTCCATATTCACTGCAGCACTAATCACAACAGCCAAGATTTGAAAGCAACCTAAGTGTCCATCAATAGATGAATGGATAAAGAAAATGTGGTACATATGCACAATACAGTAATTCAGCCATAAAATAGAATAAGATTCTATCATTTGCAACATAGATAGAACTGCAGGACATTATGTTAAGTGAAATAAGCCAGGCACAGAAAGACAAACTTCACATGTTGTTACTCATATGTAGGAGCTAAAATTAGAACAATTGAACCCAAGGAGATAGGGGGTAGAATAATGGTTGTCAGAGGCTAGGAAGGGTAGTGGTGGTGGGGCAGGTAATTGGGGATGATTACTGGGTAAAAAATGTAGTTAGAAGGAACAACAGCTAGTATTTGATAGCCTGACATGGTGACTACACTAGATAATAATTTATTTTACATTTTATATATACTTTATATTGCTGCAAATTACACATCTTGTTTAGAGTTGAAACAGACAAAACCTAGACATTATATTCTCTATGAAATCTGAAGAGTCTTACTAATAATTTATAAAAGGACAATGGTAAAATACAAAGACTGAAGTACAAAAGTACAATAGTAAAATACAAAAGACCGAAGTCAGGAAGCTTTTCACAAATGCTTGCAAAGCTCAAACTCCCTTTCATTACCAATTCTACAAACTTGGAGTTGATTGCATTTCAGGGCACATTGCAAAGTACATCTTTTCAATGTGCTTTTCCTTAATTAGTACAAACATTTGGTCCCTGAGAAAGGTGGAAGTATAGGCTTGCTTTTGTTTTTGTTAATGTTTTCTGTTTTTTTATTCACTATTTGCACCCAGAGGCCCATGTGAATGACACATTTTTATTAAAATCAAGAATAAATATTATGTAAATTATGTCCCCAAACAGCAGCTATGGAGTCTAATTATTTTAAGGCAGCTTTAGCAGGATTCATTTTAGTTCTCTAACCAAAACAAAGCAGAAAGAATATTTCATATGCTAATAGATTTCTGCTTCCCTTCTTAGCATTTGGAAACTATGTACCAATCATCTTTGCATCCCAACAACCAGGAGAGTGCATGTTTCATATGAGTGTTCATTTAAGTGCTCTCAGTGATATAGGACAATTACTGAGACAATTAGTGACATATTTTAATTGATTGAAAGTACACATTGAAACATTCACATGACTATTCATGTATATGATTTGTATATATAGACACCTATCTCTGAAATATCTTTTCAAAATTTCTTCCCATGAATACAATTAGTACTCCAGTTCTACCAATTTGCCAGTCAGTTTGTTTTAGTCTATGTCAGGTTTTCTCAACATTAGCACTATTGACTTGGGGCCAGATAATTTCTGTGGGAGTTGTCCTGTGAGTTTCAGAATGTTTAGCACCATCCATGACTTCCACCCCTAGATGCCAGTAACACCCTACCTGCTACAAGCTGAATGCTTTTATCCCCCTCCCCCAAATTCGTATAGTAAACAGTAATCCACGATGTAATGGCATGTGGAGGTACAAACTTCTGGAGGTGATTATGAGGTCATGAAAATGGAACTGTCATGAATGGATTAGTGCCTTTACAAGAGGAGCTTGGAGCTAGCTACCTTTTTCCAAGATGTGAGAATACGAGACGTTGGTAGTCTGCAATCCAGAAGAGAGCACTTAGCACAACCCGACAATTCTGGCAACCTAATCTCAGACTCTCAGACTCAAGAACTGTGATAAATAAATTGCAGTTTTTTATAAGCCACCAAGACTATGATAATTCTTCTTAGCAGCCAAACTGACTAAAGGAGAAAATTGGTGGGACATTCATTGTGTGATGTGTGCTCTCGTAAAAAGAAATGGAAGAGTTTGCTTTCTTTCTTTCTGCTCTTCACTATGTGAAAATATAGGGAGAAGAGGGCTCTCTGCAAACCAGGAATCAGACACACACCAGATACCAGATAGGCTGGCCCTTTGATCTTGGACTTCCCAGCCTCTAGAACTGTGAGAAATAAATGTTTTTTGTTTATACCACACAGTCGAAGGTAATTTGTTATAGCAGCGTAAAGTGACTAAGACACTATCCCAAGATGTAATAACTAGATATCTCTCCAGACATTTTCAACTGTCCCTTGCAGGGGGGTGGATTTTGCCCCCATGTGAGAATCACAGTCCTATGTGGGAAGGGGTGTTTTCATATATGTTGGAACATATAGAATAATGCTAAAACATCTTTGTCCTTGACCTCAATTTCTCCCCCTTGGCCTACCTTTCACTTGATTTTAAATATTGTTTATTTTGAAATGCAAATTTTCCTATCATTGTTTTGGTTATAATTATCAAAGTTCCTCTCATTTCTCTCCCTATTGGCATTGCTGCCAGGATTAATTTCAAAGACCTTACCATTGCAGAAAGCCTCTTCATGATCTGTATCTAATCTATCTCTCCAATCTCATTACTTGCTATTCCCACAGGTAACCCAAGCTCCTCATGTACAGCAAACTACAATTCTTTCCTTCATTCTTCATTTCTCTAATTTCTAATTGGTTTATGAGCCTCAATTCAATTTTCTTCAGCTCATTGCCTCCAGAAAGTTTTGGAATACATTCTCCATGCACACCTCCCTCAGACCATTATTACACTAAACACAGTGTGATGGTTAATTGTACATGTCAACTTGGCTGGGCCACAGGGCCCAGGTATTTCATTCTCTTTCTGTGGAGAATTATGCATGATACACAATGCATATTTTTTCCAAGTCTATTTCTTCCCTGGAGTTCAAGATGCTGTGTGTATGTGTGTCTATGTGTGTGTGCACATGTATAATTCTTTATCATGAGGACTACTATAATATCGCACGTTACAAGTGATTAAAACATAGTCTAAGAGTGATTGCTATAGTCACCCTACTGATCTATCAAACACTAGGTTCTATTTCTTCCACCTAAATGTACATATTGGTACCCACTGGATTGTACATTTTAAAACAGCTAGAAGATAATGATTTGAATGTTCTCAGTGTAAAGAAACGATACATATTTAAGGTGATGAATTTCACAACTACCCTGATTTGATCATATGAATATGTCAAATTATCACGTGTATCCCACCAAATGTACAACTTTTTTGTATTAATAAAAAATAAATTAAACTAATGGTTGCACTTCCTGTTTTTTTAAATAATTACAGAAATTATCATTAGTATCACCTTTAAAAAAATATTGTCAATGTTTATTTAATATTTTCACAGCAAACTTATATCATGACCTATCTCTATTCCCAAAAGATATTGGGTGCTTTTGGTAAAGAAAGCCTCATTTGTACAGATCTTTTATGGTGCTACATTTTTTTTTAAACCTGAACAAATCATACTTACTGTTTGGGGTCAAAAGTATAATTAAAAACATGGCATTCTATGGAATGTTGAAGCAAAACGGGCTTTCCTTTGGTTAAGCAATGAAACATGTTAACTTTGATTTCTATTCCTTAGTTAGAGACTGATTTCTGTAACTTGGTTTATGCATATTATTTTGCATAGTTTACCGATCCTCCTTCTTCAAGCATTATCTAGCTCTTGCTGTTAGTGTGACAGGATACAGTTTCTATACTTGCAGATGGAGTAGGATTGTTGAATATCTACATTTGTGCACAGAAAATTGCTTCACTACATGCATGGGTGCTAGGGGAATTATTTTTAACTGAAACAGTCATGCTTATGAAAAAGAAAATTCAGAGCTTTTACAAATATCCCACAGATACTGAGGAGACTATTTAGTATATTAGCTTTTGTTAAGTGAATGAAAACCAAGGATTTCATGGTAAAAATTAGAAAGATTATTAAGGATTTTAACCTTTCTAGAGACAGGATTTCCATGAGTATAAATACAGGATATCCAAGAAGTTTTACACATGTATGCAGCCTTTCTGATTTTGTTATAAATGAGGGACACAAAAAAACTCCTTTGATAATGCAAAAAAGCTTTGATTATCTCTCCAGCATGATGTACTAAACTAATACAAGTATTATTTAGCGAGCACTTATTATATGCTGGGCAATGTGTTAAGTCCTTTAATCTAACTAAATCCTATCAACATATTTATGTAGCATTATTATTCTTTGTTCACATATTTGGAATTTGAGATTCCACATGACTGAATGACTGTAAAAGATCACTCTGCTAGTAAGCAGACACAATAGAGTTCCCACGCTGATTTTCCTGTATTCAGAGTTTTTTGCACCCTATACTGTCTTTCACAAGTTAGCATTTATTGAGTGACTACTAGGTGCAGGCCACTTTGCTGAGTGCTTTACGCACATTGCTTCATGCATCCTCACGATAGCTCTGAGACACAGACATTATTTTTCCACTTTTACATATAAAGAGAAAGCCACACAGCTAGGCTGACCAAAGGAACCAGAGTCAGTTAGAGATGAGTGTTATCCCCAAATCATCACGCTTTGTACTATATCTATACTTCCTATCATTAAGGGAGCAATAGATTCTCTAGTTTGTGATTAAATAGCTCTACAACAATTTTCTCAATCAATTACGCTCACATCCATTAAGTCAAATGAAAAAATTAACATGTGGTCAATAAGACATTCATGGAGATAGCAAAATATGTTCTTAATGTGACAAAAATCCAACTGCTAAGCTACACAGTTAAAATCAATTAATATTATAATTTAATTATATTCGTAGAAAACAACGTAGAAATAAAACATTTTAAGTGTAATTTTATTCAAGTTTAATTAATGTGAGAGGCAATAAAAATCTTTCTATGTCTAAACGATTGAAGCATGCCATACCTTACTAAGCTGTTAGTACTGTCAGGATCTTGTGCCAAAACTGTACCAACGACGGTCCCAATCTTGGCATTTTCGTAGACTTCCATGAGGTAGGAAGGCATGGAAAATAGTGGTGGTTCATCTACATCCCCAACAATGATCTTCAGCATAGTAGCATCTTTAAAAGGACCCAAGTGAGAAAAGCGAAAATCAAGATGTGTATTTGCTCCTTCTATGTTGAGGGTATATGACTTCTTTTTCTCATAGTTCAGTGGCTGTGGGGAAAAAAAATAAGATTATGACTTTTATAAAAAAAGTCATATTATGACTTTCATTACTTTTCAAATATGCATTATTTTTTCCTTTTTAGAATAAAATAATTGAGAGAGAGATAAGTCATTCTAGCTTTGTTCTAAAACGAACTATGAAGATTATTTTAATAATAACATCTAAGGCATAAATGGAACCTCAGCATTTTGTATTTAGTGCAATAATATGTATTTGGTGTTATGGACATCAATAGGAGGAATACAAACTCCGATTCAGGAATGTGTGAGGACTGCTAGGTAATGTTTTCAAGAGGAAGTGCTTTTTCAGATAAGAACTAAACATTTGGAAAGTGTTTAGCATGATTGATATAAAAGGCTGTGTGAAACTAAGATGAACGGATGTAGTTTTAAAAGTTAAAAGCTCCCATGGTGAGGTGAGTGAAGGTGATTCGGAGACCAGTCTTCCATTTTAAACTGGATGAAGTATCCACTGATGCTGGTCTTCCTGTTAAAGATCTGTGAGAAACAGCAGAATAGAGAATTTTCATTTCTATTTATGCCACTGATTTTGTACAAGCCTGCTTCAATCTCAAAGTGTCTTTTTTTGGCAGGAACAGAATGGTCATTCCCTGCAGAGAAATTGAGGCATTGTCCTTTACATTAAGGGTCAATATCATAGTCAATTCAGGTTGCTATAACAGAATACCATACACTGGGTGGCTTAAGCCAACATCAACGTTCCTTTCAGAGCTGGTGTCTGGTAGGCATCCTCTTTCTGGTTTACAGACGGCCTCTTACTTGCTGTATCCTCACACAACAGAGAAACCATCTCTCCCTTGTCTCTTCTTATAAAGACACAAATCCCATTCATGAAGGTTTCGCTCTAATTACCTAATTATGTACCAAAGACCTCACCTCCAAATACCATCATATCACACTGGGGATTAGATTTCAACATATGAATTTTGAGGGAAGAAACATCCCTTCAGTTCATAGCAACCAAGCAAAAGCTAACTAGAAAGAGGATCCTTATCAGGATCCTGTAAACAGAATGATCAGTACTATAATACTTATAATAAGTTCCCCAATTTTTCTGAATTGCCTTGGAAAATTGGCCTTCCCAGGGGTTGGAGATTACACAAAAGGCAAAATATCATTTCATTTCCAAACCATATATTAAGAACCTAGAAAACTAGGGTCACAGGGACATTGATGAGGATAAGCCACTACAATATTTTACCAGTTTCCAAAAAAATATGTATCTTTATATCTTAAAAAATTCAAATTATCAGAAGTTGATCATATATACAATACACATGCATTTATATATGACACAAACATTATGAATTTCAGATTATATATTTTTCAAGGAGTTGCTTCTGAAGTTTATGACCTATCACACTAGAAATAAATTGCCAAAATAACTAATACCTATCTTGTTTGAGGAGTTGCATACTCTTTTTTTTTTTTGAGACGGAGTCTCTCTCTGTCACCCAGGCTGGAGTGCAGTGGTGAGATCTCGGCTCACTGCAAGCTCCGTCTCCCGGGTTCAAGCCATTCTCCTGCCTCAGCCTCCCGAGTAGCTGGAACTACAGGCGCCTGCCGCCACGCCCGGCTAATTTTTTGTATTTTTAGTAGAGACGCGGTTTCACCGTGTTAGCCAGGATGGTCTCGATCTCCTGACCTCGTGATCCACCCACCTAGGCCTCCCAAAGTGCTGGGATTGCAGGCGTAAGCCACCATGCCCGGCCGAGGAGTTGCATACTCTTAATTGGATCCACACATTAAACTTTTTCTTTCCTTGAATCCTTCCTCCTTTACATTAACAAGTGAGAATTTGCCTATGACTAATTTATCAATAAGCCCCATCAAAATTTAAATAACTCGTCCTAGAAATGGTACATACTTGCTGCCTATCAGCAACTGGGTGGACAAAAATGGTCCCTCTTGGCTTATAAGAGCTGGACAGTCAGAATCGTGCATCCTGCTCATGGAAATACGAATACCTGGAAAGTTTACTGTTAGTTTTAGATCAATGTCTATAATTTTTGGAGTTAACTTGCTGCATGTGGAAGGCTTGATGATGTCTAAGGTTCTTCTCACTGAATATGGGTATTTAAGACCTTAGAACTAAAAATCAGAGTTACATACTTTTCTAGGAATGCTTAACATTTCTTTCTCACAATAACACTGGATTTTAAAACAATCACCTCCACTTATTTATTATTTTTGGCTTTCACATCTTTTGGACTTTTCAATGAAATTTGTGGAGGGATTTGGGCCACCTCCCGTCCTATCTGATATTATTATCAAGCTCTGCATCCAAGATGACACACATCTCTTGTTCCATTTCTTAGCAGGTCCCCTGGCAAGTTAGATGCCATTTGCCTCAATACTAACCTACCTACTGCTACGGTGCAGGCTGTTTCTGTGGACATATGGTTTCAGGTTGACGATCATCTAATATATATTTTACTACTCCAGGGTGGGGGTAAACATTTTGAGGGACTTCTTTGCCAGAACTGACGGATGGATGGAAACCATGTGGAGCCATGAAAAAAATGAGTAGATTATTTTAGGTTGGGACAGGAATTTAGAAGCAGTTGAATTAACGCAACTGGAAATATTTTAACAACCTCATTTGTGAAGAAAAGCTGGTGAGGCTGAATTGCCGGTACAGGGAAACTGTGAGAAAATTATACTCATTTATTTATGCCTGGATATTTTAGAGTTATATATATAATAGAAATTATTGTATTATTTGGTTTTACCCAAAAAAAATGGTATTTATAGTATTAGTATTATAGTGATTATTTTTCTATTACTGTAACTCTGGGAAAACTACTCAAGTACCCATCTTCCACACCTTTTAAATAGTTGAGTAAACTATTAAAGTTGTCTTCCACGCTTTCTTAGTTAAAAAAAAAAATCCCAGGTGAGGCACGGTGCCTCATGCTTGTAATCCCAGCACTTTGGGAGGCCGAGGTGGGCGGATCACGAGGTCAGGAGGTCGACCATCGTGGCTAACACGGTGACACCCTGTCTTTACTAAAAATACAAAAATTAGCCGGGTGTGGTTGTGCACGCCTGTAGTCCCAGCTACTCGGGAGGCTGAGGCAGGAGAATCGCTTGAACCCAGGAGGTGGAGGTTGCAGTGAGCCGAGATCATGCCACCGCACTCCAGCCTGGGTGACAGAGTCAGACAAAAAACAAAACAAAACAAAACAAAAAACAAACCATATCACTGATGCTCATACTTAATGAGTGCTATTTTCAGTGTTGCCAAATTCAATCATTTAAACTACTGGATGCCCAGTTACATTTAAATTTAGGATAAACTGTAGGGTTTTTAGTATATTAATTGTCATTTATCACAAGAAACATAGTTGTAGAAAAATTTATTGGTTATTTAAAATTAGAATGTAATTAGATGTCCTGTACTTTATTTGACAATGCTAATTAGCATGCATTCATATTCCAACATTCACCATGGTGATGATGGTGGTTGGTATCAAACTCACTTGGTAGGGAAGAGAGAAACTACCAGCAAGTATAACATGGGTATGTATTCACAACTCCTGTCCTTTTTCAAAAGTTAGTTTAACTCATATGAAATTGCTGATATCAAAAATGTATGATGACATATACAAAAGATCATTTCATATGGTTCAGTCTAGCATAATTATTTGTCTATCCCTCAACTATCTGAGCATTCCTGGAATCATCCCATTTGCAATGTGTTTTGTTTTACTGGAATGGTGCTTAGAATTGTCCTGTGGGTGCTGAGAAATGAAGCTGCTTAATGTTGCTTAATATTTGTATTGGCTTATTATTTTCTGTTAATCCTACTATATTCGTTTCCTAGGGATGACATAACAAATTGCCACAAACAGGTTGGGTTGTAACAACAGAAATTACCTTGAAGTTCTGAAGTCACTAAGTCAGAAATGTGGCAGAACCACACCCTCTCTGGGAACTCTAGACAATCCATTCCTCACTTTTTTCAGTTTTTGTGGCTGCCCTAGCCTGCCCCAGAAGAAAGATACCCCTACATGATTGGACACTCAATTTATATTGTAATTCAACCACTTGCAGGATGAAACTCTAGGTTTAATGTCCAGAAATCATAATTTTGCAGTTATAGGTGATGAAGATTTCTTCCAGGGGAAACATAGAAGACTTTGGGTACTTTATGCAAAGTACCCGTAGGGGCAGTGGCAAGCAGAGCTACAGACTCAGAGAGGAAAGTATTGAGCCTTACAAGAATCAGCTCAAAATGGATTAAAGACAATGTAAGACCTAAAACGATAAATCTACTAGAAGAAGAAATTGAGGGGAAACCTTCATGACATTGTTCTAGGCTGAGATTACTTGTCTATAACTAAAAAAAATAGGCAAAGTAAGCAAAAATAGACAAGTGGGAATGATCAAACTAAAGAGCTTCTTCATAGCAAAGAAATCAAGTAATAGAATGAAGAGATAATACATGATTTGAAGAAAATATTTGAAAATTGTACATCGGATAAGGGCCAATATCCAAAATAATGAAGGAACTCAAACTACTCAAAAAAAAAATACAAATCACTCTATTCAAAAAATGGGCAAATCACTTAATAGATATTTCTCAAAAAATGACATACAACTGAGCAACATATATATGAAAAATTCCTCAATATCTCTAAATATCAGAAAAGTGCCAAATTAAAACCACAGTGAAATATCATCTCATGCCTTTTACAGTGGCTATCATCAAAAACATGAACGATAACAAGTATTGGCAAGGATGTGGAGAAAAGGAAACACAGGACTGTGGTTTTGTAAATTAGTACAGCCATTTTGGAAAAAAGTATGAAGGTTCCTCAAAAAACTGAAAGTAGAATTCCCATAGGATCCAGCAATCCCCTGACTGGGTATATAGCCAAAGGAACTGACATCAGTATCCCAAAGACATGGCTGCACCCTTATATTAATTGCAGCATTACTCACATTAGACAAGATATGGAAAAAAACAAAGTATTCATCCACGAATAAAAGGATTTTAAAAAATTGTGGTGTAGATACACAGTGGAATACTATTTAGTCTGTTACTTAAAAAAAGATTCTGTCATTTGTAACAACATGTGTGAACGTAGAGAACATTATGTTTAGTGAAATAAGCCAGGCACAGACAGACAAATACCATATGATCTTAGTTACATATGGAATCTAAAGTCAAACTCATTTAAGTAGAAAGTAGAATGGTTGTTACCAGAGGCTGGGAATAGAGAGGTGAGTAGGAAAAGGGGAGACATTGGTTAATGGGTACAATGTTACAGTTAGGTAGGAGGAATCAGTTCTGGTGTTCCATATACAGCACAGTGACTACACTTAATAATAATGCATTGTACCATTCAAAATATCTAAAAGAGAGAATTTTAAATGTTCTCACCACATGTAAATGATAAATATTTGAAGTAACAGACATGTACCAATCACATTGTACATCATAAATATATATAATTATTTTCTGTCAATTAAATATTAAATAAAACTTAGGAAAAAAGAAACCTAATGGAATTTTCCATGCTGGGTTTTAAACATATTTGGAACTTGTGACTTTTTTATTTCTTCCATTTTCCCCCTGTTGGAATGTCAGTGTTTATAACTGTTATCTTATGCCTCTCCTACCATTGTATTTTAGATAAGGATAATTTGTTTTCTAATTTCACAGGTCCACAGATGAAGATTTTCATGCTAGGATTCAAACTATCTAGAGTTTCACCCACACCTGATTAAGATAATGAGATTTAGATTGAGATGATGAGTTTAGAAATGTTGACCTGATGATAAACAGATAAGATTTTGGACTTAGAATTGATTTTGTAATAGATTGATATTTTAGGGATGTTGGGATGGGGTAAACACTACTGTACACATGGGAAGGACATGGCTTTCGTGGAGACAGGCTATAGAGGCCTGACGGCAACCCTGCAACAAATATGAATATGGCAAATCATGCAATTAACTTATGTAGTAAACTATAAGAAGAGGTGATAATCCTCGATTATTTAGGTAGGTGTTAAATTTAATGACAAGGGTCCTTATAAGAGTGGCCAAGGGAGATTTGGCAGAGAAAATGTGATGCGGTCATATGACCACAGAGGCAGAGAGAGGAGTGATGTAGCCATGAGCTGAGGAACAACTGGAGCCTTCAGAAGCTGGAATTGGTGAGGAATGGACAGGTCCTTAGAGTTTACCAAGGAAAGAGGAAGTGCAGTCCCACCAACTCCTGATTCCAGACTTCTGGCCTCCAGGACTGTGAGACAGCACACTGGTTTCTCGAGTTCCTCAGTTTATGGTCATTTGTAAGAGCATTCCTAGGAAACGAATGTAAATTTGTCTGCTTTATGTAGAAACATAGTAGAAATTTTCTTTCTTTTCAGTGTGTTGAAAGCTTTAAATAGTATTGCAGTTATGTGCTCTTCCAGGTTTGACAGAATTCCTTAGTGAATTATTGGGTCTGATATATTTAGGGAAAATTCACAAGCTTCTCATTTTCTTATTCAGAAATCAGTTTATGTGTGTTTTCTGTTTCTTTGAAGTTGCTTTTAGCAACCTTCCCTCGAAATCCTTCATATTAAATTTATTTGTGTAGAGTTAAGAAAATATTGTTATAATGTTTTCAAGCTGCTTATTTTCTATGTCTTTCATGTATCTTAATAAGATTAGTTTAGGTTTTTTTTTTAAACTTTCCTTCCAAAAAATCAGGTTTGAATATATATTTTTGTTTACTATTCTTTATTCCTTTTCTTATTTTATTCTCCATTATTAGTTACATATTTAATTCATCTAATATTATTCTTTTTAGTCGATGTCTTTGATATGTTTAGAATTACAAGTATACTTTCAGAAGCACTTAATTTGTATCCCATAATTTCCATATATGTTCTTTCTCATTATAGTTTTTTTCCTAGAAATTCTGCAATTTGTTTGCCTTTTTTTTTCTGTGATTTGAGAATTCCTGAAGAAGAAGGTTGTGGTTGTTGCAGTTAATACATTTTCAGTTTAAGGTCATTATTTGTTTTCTGATGTTTTTCACTAACTTTTAGTTGTATTTGGAAAGGAGCATTTTATTTGTACTATTTTAACTTTGAGTCCTTTAATGAGATAGTCTTGAAGACTAATACGTAATATTTAGTCAGTTTTACTAAATATTCTATAGGCGCTTGAATTAAATGATATAGCCCCAGAATGCAGAGAATGATTTATTAAATCTATCAACCTCCTTATTAATTACATTATTTGATTATTCATATTTTAAAATACTTTATCTATCACAGACTGAAATTTGTGAGCTATAACCCTCTACAATTCTGTTTATAGACATATTTCTTTGTATATATTGTGATTTCTTCTTTGTGAATGTTGGTCAATAACATGCAACAGAGATACATACTCACAGTGAATGGCTCACTTTAGGATTGTAAAGTGTTTTTCTGTTCCTTCTTTTTATGATTTCAGTTTGGATCCCATCACTGTGGGTGCTGAAATCATATCTCTTACTTTCCTTTTTATGTATGTGGATTTTTATTATGATCTTATTTTTTTTTGTTTTAGATACATCTGGTTTCCTTGAGTGAAGTTCTATTTTTGTTTATTTTTTTTCTAGTGACCACCTCCATTCTTATAAGTTTAGATAATATTGTGTTATCACCATACAATAAACAGCAATTAAAATAAAATAGACTGTTTCCATCTTCTCCCATTTCACTTAAATATTTGTAACTTTTAATTTTTGTTTACTTTTGTACTCTTAGTAATGCTTATAGATCTAATATTTGACTTATTAGCTCGGACTTATATTTTTTCATTCTTAGTTATTACTAATAAATTTTTTTTAAACTTACAATCCTATGTTCTTAGGAAAAGAGGTATTGTTTCTACAGTTTTTAAGGCACATGTTTACATTCTGATAAACTACTCTGATCCTGATGTTAATCACAGTCAGTGTTCCTGCCTGTCATTACCCATTAGTACCCACAAGTATTTCTTGGTAAGATACATTACTTCCCAATAAAATATCCTTCAATCCACCCCCCCCAAAGAAATATAATTATTTATTGTTTCTAAATACAGAATTTTACATTGATCCCAATTAAAGGTGCTAACTAATATTTAGGTAGATTATTCCAACTGGTCAGAAGTTTTTTTAGTTTCATTTTATTTTTAATGACACAATAATTATACATATTTACGGGGTATGGGATAAAATGTAAACTATTGACATATGCATACAACGTGTAATAATCAAACTAAGGTAATTAGCATATTGTAATGTTCAAAGTTTTTTGGTTATAATTTCCATACTTGAAGGACAATATGGGTGGATATAAATCCTTTGGCTGAATTTATTTTCTTGAGTATCCAAAGTCCACACATGTTTAAAAATAATTTCCCATGCAAATATTTCACTGACCCCTTCCCATCTTTGAAAAGTTGGTTCTTTTTAATTTCTAAACTCATAACAATTAAGGCAAACCTATATCATTAACAGTTGGTATGGGCTGACATCTTGTATTATAACAATATATCATGTCTACCCAGTTTTCCCTAAGAGAAAAAATATTATCTAATTCATTTCATAGTCATGTATCTAAAATAATTCCTAGCACATGGAATTTGATTAATAGCTCTTTCTCCATCTCAAATACAGCTGTTTTCAGAGTACAGAAAGGTGCTATTACATGGTTTAGATTTGATGGATAAAAAATTTAATATTATTTTTGAAATATAATACTTAACACCGACCTATGCCCTAAACAATTAACATATATTAATTTATTTAACCTTCACAACACCTGTGTGAGATATAATTGTTCCCATCTACAAATGAGGAAACTAAGGCATAGGACAGTTAAGAAACTCCTTATGGACAACAGTCTGTAAGTGATGTACTTGGGATTTAAACTCAGGCAGAGGAAGTGTATAAGCTGTGTCCTTAAGCACTATGTTATCCTGGTGGAAATCTAAATAGCAAATAAGTAGTGTAATATAATATTTCATTTTGATGATAAAGATAAACAATTTTTTTAGTGGAATATAATAAATTCACCATTAAAAGATACCTTCATCATCATCTTTTCAAGTATTTATTATTAAGTTAAAAATGAGCTGATACATTCACTAAGCTTAACTACTAGAACTCTGAGTACTTTTGTAATTTCTTTAATTCTCAGATGCATAAGCTAAGAAACTAAAATGCTATTGATAAAATTGTTTATCTTCTCAGCCCTTGCTAGAAGTGTTTATTCTGGCATAATTTTTTACTTCCCCAGGCAATTGGGCTTCTCTTACTTTTCTTTAGCTACTGCTCTATATCCTAATTTAACAGCTTACTGTCAATGAGTTGACACTGATTTTCATTTTAAATTTTAGTTTCTTAATTTCATCCTATAACTCCTAATTACTTTTACATATCATTGCTCTTTCTAACTTGTAAAGTAGTACTTTCTCCTCTAATATTAATCCATTTCATATTACTATAGTTAGTTATCATTTTCCCATCAATCGTTTCCCAGCCAGATTTACATATTCAGGACTTTTTAATTGTTTCTCATTAATCACTTCTATTATTCCTTAAATCACCCTATTATATTCTTCTCTGGAACTATATAACCATTATAAATACAAGGATATTGAAAATGCTGTTTAGCCAAGTTGCCGTATGAGTCAATTATTCTTAGAGTTTAGAGAGGTTCTAAAATTCTATTCTCCTAACTAATAAGAGAAGAGACTCTTCATGACCTCTTCTTTGTCTGATTCCTATGCTTCACCAGCATCCAGATTTTAGTTCCAAGATTGGGTAGATAGGGTCGATATCAACATTTTCATACATAAAATTGTCATCTTAATCATTAAATAAAATGGCCTAGACCAGGAATAGTGACTGACATCATTATTAATTTTTTGTTTTCTGGAAAAGTATTTAACTTATATTATGGTATTTTGTCAAAACACAGGAAAATTGTATGAATTTAAGCAGCGTTTCTCCAGCTAGGCTTTTGTATTATAATATGCTTTGTGGCCCTTGTCAGAGGTCTGGCCTGGATGATGGACAGTCTGTGGAAACCGGAGTATATGCATAAGCTTTCTCATCATATATTTCTCTATACAGAAGAAAGTAATTCTTATTCATTGTGTATAATTCTAAGGACACTGATACAAATAAATATTACATGTTTGCTTTCTGTCATTTGAACACTGGACAAATAAGTGCAAAGATCTTTCATTTCAAATAGCTTAAGTATACATTATATTATACAGAAAGTATGCTTATTATTATTTATATATAATTATACACAAGCTCATATGTGTGTATATGTATATCTATGTGTTTTGTGCATATGTGTGCACGTGTATGTGTATATATGACATAAATAAAATAATTAAAAATACCCAATACATACACAAACTTACCAACAGCCCATGCATATATATAGCTTAATTCATCAAGATGTTTCGTCAGATCATTAGTTTCCAAATACTGCATAAACTGTATTTTAGGAATATATGTGTCAAAACAATCAATTAGCTTTCAATGAAGTTTCAAACGATTTATTACTCCAGGCTCATCATTATGCCTATAGATGAACAGCATGAAAAATAATTTACCCAATAGCGTTTCCGTGTCAAAGTCATCCAAAATATAGTAATAGATATTACTGAATTGAAACTTGGAATTCCTCTATCAGCTGTGGCTGAAAAGAATAACTTTTCAGACTTTAGAACCTTATAAGAATATAAAACAGAAACTTAGTTGAGTTTTTTTTGATAATGAAATTCCTAAGGAATGTTCATATTTTGTAAGCAGTCCATTAGAATTAGAAATCTACTGTTTCTTATTTATAGTTTGTGATCATGTGTTTGCCTGTGTGTGATTATTCACAATGGGTTGGGATGACTTATTTATTACTCTTTGTGGTTCAAAGTCTAAAAATGTTAAAATCTGTTAGTAAACAACATTCGATCCTTATTGTGTTACTAAATGCAAGTCAAAGGAATGACAATGTAATCCTCAATAAACACAATCCACTAAAAGACCAGAAATATAGTATGTAGAATAAATCTAGTATGGTTGTAGCGGAACATATTTCATGTTTTTATCTTATAATTTACTTAAACTTTAAAAAACAAATTTATAACTTTCAGTGTTTACTCTTAAGACCCATCTCAAATCATGTGTTAAATAAAAGGGTTTGATAATATTTTACCCATGGTGGGGTATGGAAATCTTAAAAATACACAGTACTTGGTTATGAAAGTGTTTTATGTCTCCTATAGGCAGGGATACACTTGTAGTACACATAGATACACACTCAGGAAAATTATCAGTACATTCACAGTAAATTAATTTTTGAAAAGTCTTATCCTATCAGAAGCTACAACTTTAAGAGGAAAATAAAACTGATAGGTTTTCCACATTCAGAAGTTATAGAAATGCATATTTTGATAAGTGAAACCAAAAAGATAATCCAAAAGATATTTATGACTGAAATGTACCTGAACATGTTGTACTACAAATACGATATTTAACGTAAACTTAAAAAAAGTCTTCTCTTGAAGAAGCAGGAAGAGGAAGTTGATTGCCAAGAAACATGAAGACAGTATATACATTGTGTTGTAATATACACACGGTATTTCATTCTTAGTTTGCTTCCAGTTAAATCAAATAACGTGAAATAAAGATGGCAGCAAAATCAAAATCATCACATGGATTGGTCTGGAGGTATAATTAAAAACTGGTGCAAAAATAGGAAGAAAAGAAGGCAAGGAAAAAGAAGTATTGAGGTAGTATTAGATAGTAGTTATTATTGAGGTAGTAGTAATTATTAGACAGACATAGCTTAGAGCACAATTTTCACCTCGTTTCATGTTTTCCATAATCACCCTGTAAAGTGCTTAAACAAGAAAACTGACACTTCAAAGAGTTGAGATAATGTCATAGATCTCCTAAATGACAAGATCAAGATTTATATTTCATTTTACAGTAAGGTTATATCTTCAAGCATCCTTTGTTGACTCGAAGGACAAGTTTAAAATTTTTTGGCTTAAGTTAATTTGCATTGTATTTACAGTTGAATTAGTTAGAAGGGAATGACAACACAACAGTATTTGCTGAAAATCAGAAGGCCAAATAGAATCAGAAACCTAAAGAAAACATAATATTTGGATCCACTTCTGTAAAGTGTGCAAATAGGAGCCATATAAGAAGAGACTTTGAGAAAGGCTGCTAAGGAGAAGCACATCTCTAGCTACAAGAGGTTTATGTCAGAGGAAAGAGAGTACATCCAATTGCATTCATCCTTATCTTTTTTCCCCTTTCCACCCAGCCAGGCTTCATTAAACAATGAATGAAAGTTATCAAAGTGTATTTACAATGTACCACACCATGCACCAGTGAATTCAACTTGGCAATTTTCTGATGAAGGAATGATACAGACAGGAACGTTGCAGACAGTCCTGCTGGCGGATTTATAGAGCAGTGCTGATTTCTATCTGTGAGGAGATTAGCTGTTCTGCCCAGCTGGCTAAAGTGAACTGCCTTAGAGATTAAATAAGGAATAGGTTTTTAAGAACTGTTTTATCTTTTTTCTGCCATCTCAATGAGTATCTCTTGAAGGTTAAAATCCACTCAGGTATACAGGTTTTTGAAATTGCAATTATTTATGCCCTAAAGCATACAGCAATTAAATAACTCTGAGATTGATAATCCTAATCAGAAGTATCAAAAAATTACGTGAATGCAACATGTACATACCTCAGAGGAAATCTAGACTACATTAAAAAATATGTTCAAGGGAGGCCAGATGCAGTGGCTCACACCTGTAATCCCAGCAGTTTGGGAGGCGGAAGCTGGCAGATCGTTTGGGCTCAGGAGTTAGAGACCAGCCAGGGCAACATGGTGAGGCCCCGTTTCTACTAAAAATACAAAAAAAAAAAAAAAAAAAGAAAAAAAGAAAAAGAAAAAGAAAAAAGAAAAAATAGCCAGGCTTGGTGGTGCTCACCTGTGGTCCCAGCTACCAGGGAGACTGAAGTGGAAAAATCACTTGGGCACTAGGGACCGAGGCGGCAGTGAGTCAAGATCGCACCACTGCACTCCAGCCTGGGTGACAGAGCAAGACTCTATCTCCAAAAAAAAAAAATTCAAGGAAAAAAGTGAAAGACAATTTGAACTTATTAAATGTCAAGAATATTTTTAGTACATCATCACTTACCATTTACAGAATTGAAACGATTCTGATCTTGAAAATATGCATTGTGTGTATATGCACCAAATAGAATGAACCATTAATATTAAATTAATTAAATATGTGCACACACATTAACATATATAATTTTACCTTTGTTTTTCAGACCTCTAATTAATTGTAGCCATGTAAGGTGGTGAGATATGTGCACCGTCCTTAATTCTACAACTGATAGTCATACTTCAGATTACGTGTGTAATCAAACCATCCACTGCCACTTTCACTTTTTGTCAATATGAAGTTGTTTTCCATTTTATAAAAACAATAGGACTTAATACACAGGAACGCCACCACTGCACCCATACACATCCTCACTACATCATTGCAAACTTACCCGCAGTCATTTGCTTCTATCTTCTGTCCTATGGTAACCTCAGAGATGGAGGCATACTATCTTAGGTTGTTTCCTTGCACTTGTGATTCAGGATTCTTTTGAGGTTCATCTCCACCCATAATGAATCTTTTTAAATTACTTATCCTCTCTTCAGTATCCCTAGACTACATCAGTATCCTTGATGTCTTGTCTGTATTGAGCTTTTTGTCCCTGTGCATAGAAACACTCTTGTCTCCCAACTTAAAATTAAAACATTTATTTCATTGTGTTCTTGGTTTATTTGCTTTATAATCTTTCTCCACCACGTAGGTACTAACCTTCTCCAAGAAGACAGTGTTTTTCTATTTTTTTCCTCCCATATTTTTGCTTCCCATTCTCTCTCCACCTCATCACAATTAGTTTCTCTCTCCATTGTAGCAAAGAATAATCACATATCTTCCATCTGAATATATAACATGAGTAAGTGTTCAGACTCTGATGACAGACACCCCAATTCAGTTTTCTGTCAACTTTCTGCTTGGGCACTATTTTTATCGCGTTGTGATTCAGTTTCTTTAGCTATAAAGCGGGGATAATAACACTCTCTTTCCCAAAATGTCACAGTAAGAATTAAAAGGACAATTATGGGTATATTAATTCAATAAAGACATTGCAATGTGCTTAAAATCTGTCTTGATACAGAGGAAATACTCTAACAAATATTAGTTGCTGCTACTATTTTTTTCTTCTTAAAGGCATTTTATTTTATTTTTTTATTTTCAACTTTTATTTTAAGTTCAGTGGCACATGTGCAGGATATGCAGGTTTGTTACATAGGTAAACATGTGCCATGGTGGTCTGCCGCACAGATTAACCCATCACCTAGGTATTAAGCCCAGCATCCCTTAGCTATACTTCCTGACCCTCTCCCTTCTCCCACCCCCTACTCCTATAGGCCCGTGTGTGTTGTTAACCCTATGTGTCCATGTATTCTCATCATTTAGCTCCCACTTATAAGTCAGAGCACGTCGTATTTGGTTTTCTGTTCCCGCATTAGTTTGCCTAAATAATGGCCTTCAACTCTGTCTATGTCCCTACAAAGGACACGAATGTAGTTCCTTTTTATTGCTGCATAGTATTGCGTGGTGTATATGCACCACATTATCTTTACCTAGTCTATCATTGATGAACATTTAGGTTGATTCCATGTCTTTACTATTGTGAATAGTCCTGCAATAAACATAGACATGCATGTGTCTTTATAACAGAATGAATGATATTCCTTTGGGTATATACCCAGTAATGGGATTGCTGGATCAAATGGTAGTTCTGCCTCTAGGTCTTTGAGGAATTGCCACACTGTCTTCCAGAACGGTTGAACTAATTTACACTTCTACCAGCAGTGTAAAAGTGTTCCTTTTTCTCCACAACCTCGTTAGCATCTGTTGTATTTGACTTTTTAATAAAAGCCATTCTGACTGGTGTGAGATGGTATCACATTGTGGTTTAGATTTGCATTTCTCTAATGATCAGTGATGTTGAGCTTTTTTTCATATGTTTGTTGACTGCATAAATGTCTTCTTTTGGGAAGTGTCTGTCTGTTCATGTCCTTTGCCCACTTTTTAATGAGGTTTTTTTTTTCTTGCAAATACATTTAAGATACTTATAGATGCTGGATATTAGAGCTTTGTCAGATGCATAGATTACAAAAATCTTCTCCCATTCTGTATGTTGTCTGTTTAACCTGTTGATAGTTTCTTTTACTGTGAAGAAGCTATTTAGTTTAATTATTAGATTGGTACAAAAGTAATTGTGATTTTGCAACTAAAATAAATGCCAAAACCTGCAATTACTTTTGCATCAACCTAACAGAACTTCTTTGTCAGTTTTAGCTTTTGTTGCAATTGCTTTAGGGCTCTTCGTCATGATATCTTTGCCTGTGCCTATGTCCTGAAAGGTAATACGTAGGTTTTTCTTCTAGGATTTTTATAGTTTTGGGTTTTACATTTAAGTCTTTAATGCATGTTGAATTGATTTTTGTATGTAGTATAAGGAAGGGTGTCAGTTTCAATTTTCTGCATATGGTTAGCCAGTTGTCCCAGCACAATTTATTAAATAGGGAATCCTTTCTCCATTGCTTGTTTTTGTCAGGTTTGTCAAAGATCAGATAGTGGTAAGTATGCAGTCTTATGTGTGGGTTTTGTATTGTTTTCCATTGGTCTGTGTGTCTTTTTTTTTTGTACCAGTACCATGTTGTTTTGGTTACTGTAGCACTGTAGTATAGTTTGAAGTCAGATAGCATAATGCCTCCAGATTTCTTTTTGCTTAGGATTGCCTTGGCTCTTCAGGTTTTTTGGTTTCATATAAATTTTAAATCATTTTTTTCTAATTCTCTGAAGAATGTTAATGATAGTTTCATGGAAATAGCACTGAATCTATTGATTGCTTTGGGCAGTATGGCCAATTTCACGATATTGATTCTTCCTATCCATGAGCATGGAATTTTTTTCGTTTGTTTCTGTCATCTCTGATTTCTTTGAGCAGTGGTTTGTAGTTCTTCTTGAATAGGTCCTTTGCTTCCCTTGTTAACCATATCGCTAGGTATTTTACTCTTTTTGTGGTGATTGTGAATGAGAGTTCATTCATGATTTGTTTTAGGCTTGCCTATTGTTGGTGTATAGGAATGCTGGTGATTTTTGCATATTGATGTTGTATCCTGAGACTTTGCTGAAGTTGCTTATCAGCTTAAGTAGCTTTTGGGCTCAGATGAGGAAGTTTCCGAGATATAGGGTTATGTCATCTGCAAAGAAAATTTGATTTCCTCTCTTCCTATCTGAATACCCTTTATTTTTTTTCTCTTGCCTGATTGCCCTGGCCAGAAGCTTTATAAGCGAAGGAGAAATAAAATCCTTTCCAGACAAATAAATGCTGAGGGAATTCATTACCACCATATCTGCCTTACAAGAGCTTCTGAAGGAAGTATTAAATATGGAAAGAAAAACTTGTTATCGGCCTAAAAAACACACTGAAATACACAGACCAGTGACTCTATGAAGCAACCATATAAACAACTGTGCAAAATAACCAGCTAGCATCATAATGACTGGATCAAATCCACTCATAACAATACTAACATTAAATGTAAATAGGCTAAACCCCCCAATAAAAAGACACAGAGTGGCAAGCTGGAGAAAGAGCCAAGAGCCATTGGTATGCTGTTTTCAAAAGACCCATCTCACGTGCAAAGACACTTATGGGCTCATAAAGGGATGAAGAAAAATTTACCAAGCAAATGGAAAACAGGAAAAAGCAGGGGTTGCAATCCTAGTTTCTGACAGAACAGACTTTAAGCCAAAAAAGATCGAAAAAGACAAAAAAAGAGCATTACATAATGGTAAAGGGTTCAATTCAACAAGAAGTAACTACACTAAATGTATATGGACTCAATACAGGAGTACCCAGATTCATACAGCAAGCTCTTAGAAACCTTCAAAGAGACTTAGACTCCCACACAATAATAGTGGGAGACTTTAAAACCTCACTGACATTATGAGACAGATCATCAAGACAGAAAAGTAATAAAGATATTTAGGACCTGAACTCAGCTCTGGCTCTAGAAGATATCTATTTAGTAGATTCTGATAGTTATCTATAGAACTCTCCACCCCAAAACAACAGAATATACATTCTCCTCGTTGCCACATGACACTTACTCTAAAGTTGATCAAATACAACCTGCTAATGATAATCACCCAGTCAATCCTGTACTTCCTTTAGCCGAATCCAATCAATGTTTATAATCCAAAATTGTTTTAAATTTCTAGAACAGTTCACTTTTTGATGACTAGCTACCTCCTGAACAGCGTCCCTTGGGAATATTCAATGCCAACATTCTCTCCTATTATTTGAAGATTTCCTCCAAGATTATATTTCCTCCGTTTTCATGCTTGTTTCTTAAACAATCAGTTGTCAGATTAATCTTTTAGAAAAAATTAATCCAGTTTACCTGAATTATTTTGAGTAAAGAAGTCACCCATAAAATGAAAAGCAGGCAATCCTCTTCTCACCTTTGTATCCACATCCTCATCCATTAATTACTCTAATATTTATTGAATGCCAACTCTGTGTCAGAAAAAAATGCTAGATGTTGGGAATGCAGTGATAAGTTAACACACAGCCTTGGCATCATGTTGCTTAATTCAGCAATCAGAAATCTTGACATCAAATTAGACCTAGTCACTTTTTTCTTACATCTCTTCAATGGCTTTCCATTTGGCAAAATTCAGCAAGGCCTTGTGTGCTCTTGTGCCCACTGACTGCATTCCTCATTCCCTCTACTCTGGATTCAGCCACATTATTTTGATCCCTTAAATGTGCCATGTTTCACTCACCTCAGGCACTTGGTACATTTTCTGTCTTCCTGAAATAGTCATCCTTACAGTCTATATCTAATTTACTCCTAGGCTTCTTTCAATTCTCTCTTTAACTATTGCTGAATACCAGAAAGGATTAAATATTCTAGATTTTTCCCCTGTAGCACTATATAACTCTTCTTCATAGTAAACATATTATTGATCTAGGAATTTATGTGATATTTGATTAATGTCTGTCCACGTCCATAGATTAGAAGCTGTGTGCATGTAGGGGCTGAGTCTGCCTTTGCTCCAGACTTATCCTTCTTATTCTTTGCATAGCTCATGTGGAACATAGCAACTGACACATTGAAGGAACTCAAAATAAATACATTTGTTAAATAAATATGCAAATTGTCTCTTTTCATTATCCCCTTGACCTAGGTTTGACAATTTGAGAAAAAAAATTTACAATGAGAAAATACTTTAGGTGAAGACATTGATATTTTATATGTACCAGTGGTGATTATTGTTCTCTAAGTGTTTAAAACCAAGTTATTCTTAGAACTTCCCCATGGTAGTATTCAACAGACAAGTTAATTTTCAATTTTAAATCAATATAAAATTATAATTACTAGAAGAAGAATTAATGAGATTTCATACAATCCAAATAGAAAAGTATATGTATACAAGTAGCTAGACAGATGGATAGATAGATAGATAGATAGATAGACAGACAGACAGATAGATAGATAGATAGACAACAGGCTCACATCAACATCTACAGTAGGCACATTAGAATAAAATATCTCAGCCTGTTATCTAAATAGTTCTACTGTAGAATCACCTGGAGTACATTTTAAAATGGCAAATATCTCAGCCCCCTTCGTCATCCTCTCTGGCTATAACAGAATCACCACAGCTTTATTAGGATGATGCTTTGATTCTTTGCACTTCACTGAAATTACTTTTATTTAATTCTTGACTATTAACATTGGGACATTTCAGGAAGATTAGAGCAGAGACAAAATGAACAAAGATGGAGAGAAACATTGTTAGTGTAGTCTACATCAGATCTTCCCACCGCAGCAAAACATATTTTCTGAAGAAAAGATCTAAACAGTTGACAAACAACAATTAAAATGTAATTATATCGCAAAGTGACAATATTTTATCATTTTAATGGCCTGACAGCGTGGATTATTCATGCCTCTGCCAAATTTCCATTCAGGAAAAGATGAGTGAGTTGCCTGAATCACAAAAAGTATGTTCTTTTTACCTTCTTTAAAGAAAGGATTCCTTCTCTGGTCTCTTTGTCAGTGGAGATTGAGAATATTCCCATGCCATCACCATTTATGATGGAGTAGGTCATGTCAGCATTTGAGCCAGTGTCAGCATCATTTGCCTTGATTTTCCCAACAGCTGAACCAACTTGAGCTGACTCAGGAACATATAGCTGATAGTGTTCTGGAAGACATTTCATATTAAACATATTTAAATACAATGTTCATGAAATAATCTTACAAGAAAAAATAAATATTTAGAGCACATATTCAAATGAAGACTATATTAGGTAATGCATCAAATGGACTTTTTTAGATTTTAAAAGTAGACTATTTTGTAATTAAATACTAGATTTATATAAACTTTAAAAGGTACGTAAAATACTTTGCATGAAAATAATTTCTATATTTGAATATGAAATATTTTATTAGCTCTAAACCCTTAAGCTACAGACAATTAGAAGAGAGGTAAAGTTTTCATTCTGATTTTGAACCAAAACTGAATTAGTCAAGTATTAGTGTAATCCCAATTTATTCTTCCACCCATCGTAAATGTGAAGTTCAAATATAAAAATGTGGAAACAAAAAGTATGGAAATATGGAATTCAACAGAAAAACAAGATAAAATGCCATAGCCTGTTTGTGAATATAGATAATTATTTTTATCAAGAATAGTGAGATATACAGTCATGTCCGAGAACGTGAATGTAGTTACATATTTCTTTAGCATAAATTCCCTATCAGCTTCTAAAAAGGATTTGAGGTGGCTTCATAATAAAGTTTTAAATAACAAAGTTATTAAAATTTTTAAAAATCGATTACAGAGTTGAAGCATGAGAAAGTAAATAGCTATAGAAAATTAAACAGCATTTGTGAATTAGCATTAATTTTGACACCTAATATTTTGGGTGAAGACAGTGATATTTTATATACACAAGTGGTGATTATTGTTCTCTAAGTGTTAAAACCAATTTATTCTTAGAACTCCCCTATGATAGTATTCAACAGACAAGTTAATATTCAATTTTAAATCAATATACAATTGTAATTACTAGAAGAAGAATTAATGAGATTTCACACAATCCAAATAGAAAAGTATATGTACACAAGTAGCTCATTAGACAGATGGATAGATAGACAGATAGATAGATTAGATAGATAGCTAACAATTTTAAAGCACTGTTAATTTTATACTCTCATTGTCTAATAGGTACAAAGATCATTTTTCCAAAGTTTGTCCTGATATTAAATGTCGAATGGAACCGTTTCTATAGTGCTTATATTAAGAAGCATAATGAACATGTTTTTAATAATTATTTTATTGACAAGTTAAAAAAGCTTATTAGAGCAATTTATTATAGAAAATTCAAAACATTATAAATAACAGAAGCCCAGGAATCTTGAATTAAAATGTAATTTGATAAAATAATTTCTACCAAGATTAAATTAATAGTGATTCAATGCTATACAAGGACATAGACTATATAGATAAGTGAATGCACAATCTCTAGAAAAATAATTTCAGTGAGACAATCATTTGTCATTAGTGATATGATACTGAAAACAAAAGTCTAATCTAGTGAATGTTGAAAATATCATTTTTTATTATTGTGATAAGAACACTTAATATGAGATCCATCCGATAAACAAATTTCTACACAACACAGCCTTGCTATTCATAGACACAGTATTTTTCAGCAGATCTCTAGGACTTATTCATTTTGCATAATGACAATTTTATATTTGTTGATTAGCAACTCCTCACTCACCTTCCCTAGTCCCTGGTAACAACCACTCCATTCTTTGATTGTATGAATTTTACTATTTTAGATACCTCATCTGCTTGAAATATGCAGTACTATATTTGCCCTTCAGTGACTGGTTGATTTAATTCAGTCTACTGTCCTCAGTAGTCATCCATGTTGTTGCGTATTGCAAGATCTCTTTTTTTAAGGCTAAATACTATTCCATTGTTTGATAAACCACATTTTTCTCTACATTCTCTGTCTATGGACATTTAGATTGTTTCCATGTCTTAGCTATTGTGAATAATGCTGCAATAAACATAGGAATGCTAATATTTATTTGTAATCCTGATTTCGATTTTTTAAATAAATACTCAGAAGTGTGGTCATTAGGTCATATAGTAATTTTACTTTTAATTTTTGAGGAATCTTTATACTATATTCTGTAGACGCTACACAAGTTCACATTTCTACCAACAGTTTGCAAGGGTTCAAATGTCTTCACATCCTCAACAATACTTTTCTGTCATTGGCTTTTTTCATAAATAGCCATCCTGAGAGGTATGAGGTGTTATCATACTGTAGTTTTGATTTGCATTTCCATGATGACTGGTGACATTGAGCATCTTTATACGTACCTATTGTCCATTTGTATGTGTTCTTTAGAGAAACAGCTATTCAGGTCCTAGGCCCATTTTTTAATCAGGTTATTGATCATTTTTTTCCTTCCTTCTTCTCCTTCTCCCTCTCCTCCTCCCTTTCTTTCCCACTTCTGTCTCCCCCTCCCCTTCTACTTCACCCACTCCCCCTCCCGTTCTTCCTCCTCCTTCTCCTCCTTCACCCACTCCCCCTCCCCTTCTACCTCCTTCTTCCTCCTCCTTCTCTTCCTCTTCCTCCTCCTCCTTCTTCTTCTTCTTCTTCTTCTTCTTCTTCTTCTTCTTCTTCTTCTTCTTCTTTCCTTTTATTATTGAGTTGTAGGAGTTTTATTTTGGAAATAAGCCTTTTAGCAGACAGGGCTTGCAAATATTTCATTCCACTTCACAGGCTGCTTTTCACTCTGTAGATTGTTTCCTTTGTTGTGTTAAAAATTTACAACTTGATATAGTCCCATTTGTCTGTTTTTGTTATTATTGCCTGGGATTTGCAGGTCATATCAGATTAATCATTATCAAGACTAACGTCATAAAGCTTTACCCCTATTTTTTTCTTTTAAGAGTTGTGCAGTTTCAGATTTTATGTTTAACTTGTTAATCCAGTTTGAATTAGTGTTTGTGTATGATATACAAAAAGAAGCCATTTTCATTCTTCTGTATATAGATAATGAGTTTTCAATGCATTTTTTTGTTTGTTTGTTTTGTTTTGTTTTGTTTTTTGACACGGAATCTCACTCTGGCTGGAGTGGAATGGTGCATCTTGGCTCACTGCAAGCTCTGCCTCCTGGCTTCACAGGATTCTTCTGCCTCAACCTCCTGAGTAGCTGTGATTACAGGCCCGCACCACCACACACAGCTAATTTTTTGTATTTTTAGTAGAGACAGGGTTTCACTATGTTGGCCAGACTGGTCTTGAACTCCTGACCTCGTGATCCACCTGTCTCTGCCTTCCAAAGTGCTGGGATTACAGGCATGAGCCACTTCGCCCGGCCTGTTTTTAAAGAGACTATCCTTTTCTCATTGTGTATTCTTAGCAACCTTGTTGAAGATGATTTTACTACCTGTGTCTGGATTTATTTAGAGGCTCTACTCTGTTCCACTGGCCTACATATCTGTCTGTATGCCATTACCATACTATTTTAATTACTGCAGCATTTTAAAATATTTTGAAATCAGCAAGTGTGTTGCCTCCAGCTTTGTTCTTCTTTTTCAACATTGTTTTGCTTCTTCAGGGCCTTTGTCTTTCCACATATATTTTAGAATTGTTCTTTGCTCTCCCTGTAAAAAAATGTCATTTGGATTTTGATAGGGATTTTACTGTACTTGTAGAGTTAAAATGTAGTATAGACATTTTATGAGAGTGCAACTGATAACATTATATACATAAAAGCTTAATGCTTTTCCAATAAGATCAGGAACAAAGCAAGGATGCCCACTCTTACCACTTCTTTTCAAAATAGTACTGGAAGACATAGCCAGAGCAATTAGGCATTTAAAAAAAATAAAAGGGAACTAAATCAGAATGAAATAAGTAAAACTGTCCTTGTTTGTAGATAACATAATATTACATATATAAAAAAACAGGCTCCACAAAAAACAAAAATTGTTATAACTAATAAACAAATTCGGTAAAGTTGCAGACATAAAATCAACAAAAAAATTAGTTGCATCTATACACACTAATAAAAATTATTTGAAAAAGTTAGAAAAATAATCCCATTTATAATAGCATTGAAATGAATAAAATCTGTATAAATAAACTAAGGAAGTGAAAGTCTCATGCACTGAAAATTATAAAACATGGATGAAAAATGTAAAAAGACAAAAGGAAGTGAAGGACTTATACACCGTAAACTAGAAAACATGGATGAAAAATGTAAAAAGACAAATAAATGGAAAGACATTCAGTGTTCATGGTTTAAAATATTTATTTGAACCTGGTACGGTGGCTCGAGACCTGTTCGAGACTAGCCTGACCAACATGGTGAAATCCCATCCCTACCAAAAATACAAAAATTAGCTGGGTGTGGTGGCACACGCCTGTAATCCCAGCTACTTGGGAGACTGAGGCAGGAGAATCGCTTGAACCTGGGAGGCAGAGGTTGCAGTGAGCCGACGTTGTGCCACTGCACTCAGCCTGGGCGACAGAGCGAGACTCCATCTCAAAAATAAAAAAATCATTTGATAAACTTCTAAAGACAAAAATGTATAATTTTAAATGTGCATGTATAGATACTAAGGGTTGACACACGTGTTCATGTATGTGTTTGTGTTTAGTCAATGTTCAACAAATATTTTTCTCAGCTCTCTTTCATAAGCATTGGAGAATACACCTGGAATAAACTCACAGCAAAGTAAGAAAGACATTAGCTTTTAGTCTAACTAAACTAAATGTCCGAATAAATTGTATGTTCAACCAACATATCTTTTCCTGTGTAAAACACCCTCTTCTTTTAAACAAACAATCCCTTGACCTTAACCATATGGTTTTATCAAGATCTACCATTACTAAAAGATCTATCTTCCTTGATTCTGTGAATTGGCATGGGAAAAGCATGAGACCCAAATGTTATAGGATCCCTCCTTCGTTCTCACAGTTGATTGGTGAAGGGTAGGCAGTTTTTCAAACATCTCCAAAAAGAGTATATTTCTCAAAAATGTTGAACTGGAACTAGAAAATAACTTTCATCTCTCTTTGGTGGCACAGCTATGAAATACTAAGAAGAGGCTTTTGTCAATGGTCGTGTTTCCAAAATTGATGTTGAAAGGCCAAATTTGAGGGCATAAAATCAGCATCAAAGAGAAGCCATGTGATTTGCACTGGCCTTGAAAATATCATGATGTTCCTGAAAAGTCACATCTATAATGGGACACTGTTTTGCTCAACAAAATGTATAGACATATTACAAAATAAATTGGTACAAATTCTCTAAAATATTTTGAGACAGAGACTAGAAGGAGTCAATTTTTTTGGATGCTGTGGTCTCCAAGGTCCAACTAAACCAGAATTAACCACTATTACATAAGCCTTCAAAAACCTGTCAAGTAGTTAATACTAGGATGGTAACACTAGAAAACCAAAGATGTCTTAGTTAACAGAGATAAATAAATACATTATAGAATTACTATGATGATAGCGTTATAAAGAAGGTTGTTTTCACAAAGCGGATTGCAAAAAACTGTTCAAATGGGTCACAAAAGACTCACGGCCCAGAAAACATTTAGGCTGGGTCTTAAAATATGAAACAGATTCCTGGTACAGGCAGATTATGTTTATAGAAAAAAAACCTGATAATTCTTGACACATTTTAAGAATTGCAAGAATAGTAACTTCCCCATTCACTATGTCCCATTAAACAAAGGAGTGCATTAAGATTAATATTTTGTACACTCTCCATTGAGTTGAGAATTATAATTTGTAAATTAAGAGTCAACTTTTAGTAGACAGCCTTCAAGGCGGCCACATTTTACCCATGCATCCTGCTGATCATGTCCTTGAGTAATCATTTCCTCTTGAATGTTGGCTAGATATAGTGGCTCACTTATGATGGAGTTCAGCAAAAGTAATCGGACATCTCTTACAAGACTAGGTTACAAAAAGACTGTGGCTTCTATCATGGGAACACTTTCTCACTCCCTCTTGTATCACTCTCTGGGGCAAGCTATCTGTTATGTTTCGTTGCAGCCCATAGAGCAAGTGAGTGATGCCTGCCAAAAGCCATGTGAGTAAGCTGGAAGCAGAAACCAGCTCCACCTCCACTGAGGTAAGCCTTTGGGCAAGACCTCAGCCCCTGCTGACTTCTACACTGGAATCTCATAAGCATGAACCAAAGGCACTCATCTAAACCATAGCTAGATTCCTGACCTACAGAAATTGTGAAATAATAAATATTAGTTGTTTTAATATGCCAATTGGAATGCTTTGCAACACAGGCATAGATAAGCTATACACACTTTTGCAGTAGTTGCCAGTGATTTGCTAATTCAAATGCATTCTTTTATTGTTCTTGTCATCCTGGGGCACTGTGAGTTATGTTGAGGAAAACTGAAAACCAAAATAAACAAACAAACAAAACATGATTCTATTGCACCCTTATTGCTGATTATTTCTCCTCCTATGATTTTATACTTTGATATATTTCTAACAGAAAAAAAAACAAATAAAAAATGTCATGAAACACACACGTATGCTGTCAAATCTTAATGTTTTGGTGTATTTGCTTCAGTTCTCATTTGATAAAGTAACATACTATTGAAGGCATAGGTGATGCTTCTAAGTGAGCCATTTGCTATAATCAAATTCTCAGCTCATCTTCCCAGAACCATGATCATCCCCTTATATAACTTAAAAATATTAATGTAATGTGTTTCCACAAATACATATTCAAATAGTATGGTTATTTAGATTTTATGTTTATATTCATCTTTTTTTGTATTTTTTATTCAAAATCATAATTTGAGATGTAACTAAGATGTCGCATATAGTTCTAGTTTGTTAATTAGAATGTAGTGTTTATTTTAATAATATGCTACAAGTTATCTAACCTTATATTTTTCTAATTTAGAAATAGTCAAATGAATTTTACTTTACATATCTCCTTATTCACATGCAGGAAAATTTACTTAGGCTACAGCTATAAAAAAGGCCCTCTCTAGAGTTTTAGAACACAGACCTTCCCTGGTTGTATCACTACTTTGCTAATATCTCAGTTTCATTACAGACTTATCTTTCACTTTTTTCTTAAAAGAGAGTATTGTCCGTAACTTAGTACCTCATTTCTATTCCTTATATACACACTCTAGAAAGGTACATTTGTCCCTGTGGTTTCAACATCAACATATAAACTTATGGCTCCCAAATGAATAGTCACTTCTACTATATCCTGAGTTTCTGTTAAAATATTCAAAGGATGGTCATCTCCAACTTTACGCTGGGCATTTACAATCTTGCATCTTTTTTTAAAAAAGGAAATTGAAACTATTTGGAAAATTTAAAATGTAGAACAATGAAAAAAGAATAAATTGTTTAAAGTTTACAACAAAAGAAGGACATAGGAAACTGAATGAACCAAATATGAAGGTTAAACTTCATGTAACACTCCCCATTTGCTGATACAAACTATATTGAAAACAAAACAAATAAAAAATAAGAAATGAAAAAACTAAATGATAATTGTATTTTTAAAATATCAATTTGATAACAAAATTAAATTATCTCCTCACTTCCCTAAAATTGTTTATGTCCATGAAACTTACAACTGTTAAATAATTATGTTTAGTATTAAAAATTACTCAAGTTGGCTGTAGCAAAGGACATCCCACAATGAAGAGATGTGTTATCTTTAGTAAATTCCAGCTATTTAAGCCACATAGAAACAGTAATGGTAATATAACTTTTAGAATCTGGTTGTCCAACTTCACAGAATTACTAAAATTTGCAAATAAAATGTCAAATTTGTATTTATAACAAAGGGTTATTTATAACTATGCACTAATATGTGACTATTAATGAAAAATTGGAATAGACAAAATAGAAAAAAGGCAATTTGTTGTTTTATCACTAAAATAATTTTTTTAAAAATCATATGACTCAATTGATAATGTTTATTGCTTTGTGATTGTAGTGATATCATATTTAGTATTCTACCATAAAAGATAATAACTTTAAACTTTCAAATATAATTTCCATATATGTGTGTGTATATATATTTACATACACAAATATATGTACACACAGTGTTATATAATAGACGCAACATATTCATAGATGTCCTAAGATTATATAATCTAAAAGACATGGATCATGAATCTAGTTGATATAATGAAGAAATTGATGTAAACAATATCTGTTATATAATGGATTATGTGTCTTTTTATAAAAATTCAAGTCATTTAACATGTATTTTCAAAATGCAAGAATTTATTTTTCAAGTATTTACTAAGTAAAACAGATGTTATGCTGCTTTACACGTAGCTCTGCTTTTATGAATATAAAAATATTCATATTTATTATGCTGGCCCAGTACACTTACAGTATATATTTTGGTCATCATATACATAAGTGAGAAAAGAACACCCCCAGTTATTAATAGTCATCAGCTCTGTGACGATATTTCATCTGATTTGTGTAGCAGTAAAGAGTGACTAAAAAAACACAGAGCCGGCCAGGCGTGGTGGCTCACGCCTATAATCCCAGCACTTTGGGAGGCCGAGGCGGGCAGATCACGAGATCAAGAGATCGAGACCATCCTGGCTAACACGGTGAAACCCCATCTCTACTAAAAATACAAAAAATTAGCCGGGCATGGTGGTGGAAGATGCCTGTAGCTGAGGCAGGAGAATGGCGTGAACCCGGGAGGCAGAGCTTGCAGTGAGCCGAGATCGCACCACTGCACTCCAGCCTGGGCGACAGAGCGAGACTGTGTCTCAATAAAAACAAGACAAAAACAAAAACAAAACCAAAACAGAACCTCAATAGAAAGAAATCCAATTCCCATAATGTTCTCCATGTTTTCAGGGTGGGAGAGACAGTGAGCACTGGAGCACCTATTTAGCCATGCAACAGGGGAGCTCTTTAACTGTAAAGGTCACTTTGCTATGGATGAAGCTGGAAACCATCATTCTCAGCAAACTATTGCAAGGACAGAAAACCAAACAGTGCATGTTCTCACTCATAGGTGGGAATTAAACTATGAGAACACTTGGACACAGGAAGGGAAACATCACACACCGGGGCCTGTCGTGGGTGGGGGAGGGGGGAGGGATAGCACTAGGAGATATACCTAATGTAAATGACGAGTTAATGGGTGCAGCAAACCAACATGCACATGTATACATATGTAACAAACCTGCACGTTGTGCACATCTACCCTAGAACTTAAAAGTATAATAATTAAAAATAAAAATAAAAATAAATAAGCCTCTAGAGTTTTTCAGCTGGTACCAGCTTTTAATGTCTTAAATTAACTTATATCTACTGAGCCAGCTGTTCTCTATAACACTAAAGTCGATGCTTAGGGTCACTAAGGGTTGTCTCTCCTCACTCCTCTAAATTAAATTATTTTTTCATACTAGATACCTAATTATTTTAACAGTAAAATATCAATAATTTATACACTTGAATTTATTTTTCTGTCCTTTTTCTTGAAAAAAAGAAATATAGTTTTCATGAAGGTCTGTCCATTCTTGGCAATTATTAGATACTTTCATGAAAAAAATAGAAAGTACATGGGGAGAAATTTTTTCCTTGAATGAAATATCTACCACACTAATATGTACTATAGGATATGTAGTATTTTAATGCCTTACATTATTTTTAAGGTGGAATCCTTTTCTTATCTGGAAAAATTAAATGTATTGGTAGCACTTATGATTTAAATGCCTAAAAAAACAAAGATGGGACTTACATTAGAAAAATGGCAGATTACAAAGCTCCAAGCCTGTACACATTTGAATATTTCCCAGAGTTTTTATAAGTTTAGCTCAGCTAGTTTTAAGTTGCTTTTCGATGTTTCCATGAGGGAACAAGTGACTTAAAACTAGGTGAAATAAACTTATAAAAGCTCTTGGAAATATTCAAACGTGTACAGAAAGCAAGAAAATCCTCAACTAAGGAAAAAATAAATTCAAGCATTAAGCATCTGTGGTGTTTCAACTTGCTCTTGCCCCATTCCCTTCCCAGGGCAAGGAGATCTTGGTCTGCAGGAGGTTACAAGCCAGTTCCAAGATCTGTTCTCTCTAGAAAAAGATCAACAAAATTGATTGGCTAAGAAAGAGAAAGAGGACTCTCAAATAATTACAATCAGAAATAAAGTAGAAACACTACCCTGATTTTACAGAAATAAAAGGATTTTACAAGGAAGTCCTGCAAACAAATACCAACTAACTGGAGAATGTATAAATAATGAATATATTCTTTTAAATATGACTTACCATGACAAAATTAGGAAGAAATGAAAATTCTGAATAGACATACTACTGATAAGGAGAGTCAATAAGCCATCAAAAACTTCCCAAGAAAGAAAAGCCCTGCAACAGATGGCTGTACTGGTTTAATTCTACTAACCATTTAAAGGAGAATTAACACAAATTCTCAAAATCTTGCAAAAAGTAAAAAAAGAGGGAAATTACCTAATTTATTTTATAAGACCAGCATTCTCCTGAAACCAAAAATAGACAGACACTAAAATAATAGAAAATTAAAAACCAATATTCCTTATGAATATTAATACAAAAATTATTAACAAAATACTAGTAAACTGATTTCAGCATAATATCAAAGGAATGTACACCATGAGCAATTGGGATTTTTTTTCCTGGAATACAAGCTTAGTTCAACATATGAAAATCAATTAATTTTCATTTCCATTAACAGAATAAAGAAAAAAATCACAAGGTCATGTCAATTCTACAGAAAAAGCAATTGACAAAATTCAATTCCATTTTATGATTTAAAAAAACATAAAATAGAACTATAAATAAAAGAAACTTCCTCAACATAATAGAAGCCATATGTTAAAACCCCACAACTAATATCACTAAAATGGTGAAAGACTAAATGCATTTACTGTAAGACCAGGAACAAAAGAGGATGCCTACTTTTGAACTTTTATTCAACATAATACTGGAAATCCTAGCCAGAGTAATAAGGCAAGAAAAAGAAATTAAAAGCATCCAAATTGGGAAGGAAGTAATACAATTATCTCTGTTCACAGATGACATGATCTTATACATAGAAAGCCATAGGGAGTACACAAATACAGACACACCCCCACATACAAACACACACAAACTTTTAGAACTAATAAAGTAATTCAGCAAAGTTACAAGATAATGAATAATTGCAAAAGAAAATAAAGCAATTCCGTTCTTAATACCATAAAAATGATAAAATATTTAGGAATAAATCTAACAAAAAATGTGTGCACTGACAATGACAAAATATTGTGGAAATAAATTAAAGACATAAATAAATGCAAACTATTATAAGTTAACACTGCAAAACACACACACACACACACAATCCAATCTTTTAAATAGGCAAAGAACTGGAATAGACATCTCTCCAAAAAAGATAAAAAATTAAAATTAAAAAAAAAGAAGACAATGACTAGTGTTGGTGAGGATGTGGAGAAATTAGAACTCTTGTGCCCTGTTAGTGGAGCAGTGAAATGGTATAGCCATTGTGGAGAACAGTATGGAGGCCTCTAAAAAAATTAAACATGGCAGGGCGTGGTGGCTCATGCCTGTAATCCTAGCATTTTGGGTGGCCAAGGCAGGTGGATCACCTGCAGTCAGGAGTTCAAGATCAGCCTGGCCAACATGATAAAACCCTATCTCTACTAAAAGTACAAAAAATTAGCTGGGCATGGTGGAGGGCACCTGTAATCCCAGCTAATCAGGAGGCTGAGGCAGAAGAATCCCTTGAATCCAGGAGGCGGAGGGTGCAGTGAGCCAAGATCGCACCATTGCACTCCAGCCTGGTGAAGAAGAGCGAAACTCCATCTCAAAAAAAAAAATAAATAAATAAACATAAAATTACCATATGATCTAGCAATTCCGCTTCTGGATATATACTTAAAAGCACTGAAAGTGGGGTGTTACACCCATATTCACAGCCACCTTACTCATGATAGCCAAAAGGTAGAATCACTCCAAACATGCAGCAACAGAGGAACTGATAAAATGCAGTATACACATTAAATAAAATATTAATTATCATTACAAAATAAGTTAAAATTTGATACATCTTACAGCCTGGATGAACCTTGAAACATTATGTTTACCAAAGTTAGCCAGGCACAGAAAGACAAATATTGCATGATTCCACTTATATAAAGTACCTAGAACAGTAAAATTCATAGAGATAGAAAGTTGAATAACCAGAGACTCAGGAGAGGGAAAATGGGAAAGTACCCATTAAACAATGGGTACAAAGTTTTACTTTTGCAAGACGAAAAGACTTCTGTATTTCAATAGTACCATTGGTTGCACAACAATATGAATATACGTAGTGTTATTTAAATGCACACATTAGAGTTGTTAAAAGGATAAATATTATTGTATATATTTTTTAACTACAAAAAATAAAATCAAAATGAGAACAACTAGTAATTGAGCTGTTTTTCAGAATAGAAAAATGAAGAAGAGACACAACAAATGCTGGGAATTTATGATGAAAATCTGACCAAAATCACAAAAAGTGATATTACTACCAAAATATATAATTATCTTCAAAATGCTAGTTTTGCTTGGATTTTCAGTGTGTGAGGCTTAGATTTTCTGAGATATGAGGTAGGGCAATGTGCATTTTTCAATTTTAGGCACCAAATTGTTTATAGTATCAATAAAATATATATAAATATATAAATTATAAATACATAAATAAAATATATATAAATTATGTTCTAACTCATTAGAATTTTTTTTACTTTTTAATTTCTTCAAGTAGTACTAGAATAATTTATTCTGGTTTTAAGACTACATAATTTTTCACAGCTTAGGAATACAGATCTCACTGTGTAACAGCTTTGTATCTGGATGCACCATAGTTTTGTATGCCACATGTGATCTTTTCACATAATTTCTTAGACTGCATCATAATATACTACTGATTATGGAAAATACACTTAAGGAAGGAAGACATGGTGGGAATAATAAAAGGGCATTTGTCTCACTGAGGCTTGTCCCTTTTAATATACTTTCTTTTCCTCCAGGACAGCACTGATTCTAGTTGCTTTTTAAAAGACCTTGTGTCTTTACTACAGTAATTTTGTCATTTACTTGAATAAGTCATTCCCTATGATTACCCCAAGGCCCTATCTTACAAAAGCTGTAATAAATTTAATCATTACATTTGTTAGAACTATTTACTATTTTATAGTATTTACTTGAGAAAGTGAGATGCTTCTCAGGGAAAACTGACTGACATGTGAGAGGTTAGAAACTATGATGTCTGACTTACAGAGTTTGCCTGTCTTTCCTGATAAAATTAACCAGACAGTTTTTATAATCTCCACTTTAAATGTTTATGCAAATACAGTTTATGCTGAGAATGCTAATTTCAAATTAAAACACACACACACACACACACACACACACACACACACACACACACACAAAGTATTCTGAGATTTTCCTGCATTTAAGAGACTTAAGCTGAATATTGATTATTAAGCATTGTGGTTGGCTCTACGTGCAATGTTTTTTAAAACATAAATAAAGTAAATTTAAGTACTACTGCCATTTGAATGCCATAAATAAAAAGGGCAATTTTCCTCTATCAGAATCTTTACTGTTCTAAGAAATATCTTTAAAATCGTTTAACCCAATACATTCTGTTTCTATGTGTCAACATGCACTATAGGAAAGCTGATTATTCTATAGAAAGTTTTTTTTTTCTCTCAAGTATTATAGTGGAACACTTTCTTTGTTTTCTCTCACTCTTAATCATAAATAACACATAAATGCTTGAAGAAAGACTATTAGAAATTTTAATTGAAATTCAGTCCACTTTTTAAGTATTCTTTGAAGGTGTGCAAATTGATTTGTAATGCCTAACTATAAGAATCAAATTATTTCCAAGAAATATATGCTTATTACCATAAACATACCTACCTAAACAAAATATTATGTAAAGGAAAAGGAATTATTCTGTAACTTTATTATAGTACACAACCACATAGATTAAAAACAAACCGTAATACAATTGAAATGTCATGACTAGTACGTTTCTAAACAGAGAGCTCCATATAATTTCAAAATATTCAATTCTAAAATCAGAAGAATGTAATACTATTATTTATTTATAGCTGTTACTTTGTTAGAAAGAATATGATCTACAGGTGTATGTGTCTTATTATAATAAATACATAATAATTTTCAATTATCTTTATAAACTAAATATCATGATGTAAGATAAAAATATTGTGTTTCTATGAAGGCTAAATGAAAATAAAATAATAATATTACTCATTTAAAGTTAATTTAATAATTTCATCTTTATTTTAGAGTTCATCCTTTCAATTTAGCCACATAGAATACAAATTGATAGAGAATACATCTAATTATCTTCCATAATCTTTCTATTTAAACTTAAGTGGAATGATCTTTCAAATCTGGATATGATGGAGGGGTATATCTAACTCTGTCATATAAAACAACTCTAAAAGATGCATAGTATATAGAAAATGACTGTTTTAAGGCATTGAAGGCAATTAATGTAGGGAACTCAGGATGGAGTATGATTCTTGAGAGAAAGAAACCATAACAAAACAAATTTTATATGCACATATACTGAGGGTATTTAAAAATATGTAGTGCTGGTTGAAAGAGTCCAAGCAAAAATTGTGTAGCTTTTGGAGACAGGTTGGAGTTCAGAGCTGGCACAGGGGCTGAGAAATTGAGGACAAAAGCACAGAGAAGAAGAAACCTCAGGTAAGTGAGGAAAAAAACAAATGCAATTTTTCTTGTGGTAATTGTAGACACATCCACTACTTTGACACTTGTAGAGGCTCTGAGAAACCAACAGAAAGTGCATCTGGAAGGCAAAGGCGCTAGGCAGAGATTTCAGCAGCCATGAGTTACTGGAGAGTCAGAAATTGGTAAACACTTGAGACCAGTGGAGAGTAAGTAAAGAAAGATCCGGATTCCAGGAATAAGAGCTACTTCCCGGAAGTAAGGAGAGCAATAAAATAAGCTAGTGCTAACAGAATCCAACTGATTTAAGTAATCCACACTGTATATGTCTGCAAGAAATAACTTGCCCCTCTTTGAAAGATTGCACAATCATGAACCTCTGCAACTCCTTTATGTAATGTTCAATCAGTAATTCAAAGTCATGATTAAAAATGAGCATTGGCTAAAACTAAGAAGGAAAAAATGTAAAAAATGACCCAGGCATGATTATGATATTAGAATTCTACAAAAAGTTTTGAAATAAGTATGGTTAATATGTTTATGGTTAATATGTTTAAATAAAGAAAAGGGTGGGGAATTTCAACAGATACCAATAATCTTTATCTACTAAACCAAATAAAAATTTTAGAACAAAAATGTCAATGCTGAAGTGTGTACTTAATATATTTAATAGATGGGTTTAATTGCTGAACAAACAGCAGAAGAAAGGATTGGTGTACTAGAATATAGGTTAATATAAAATATCCAGGTTAAAGAAGACTGTAGAAGACTGTAGAATAATAATTATTATACAGCAAAGACAGTAATAGATGAATGTTATATAACTGAAAGACCTAGCTGACATACTTTGTAGAACTAATAGAAAAGAAGTGAGAAAATGAGGTCGAAGAAATACTTGAAAAAATTCTAACCAAGAGTTTCTCAAAACTAATAAAAGATAGCTTAAAAAATCTTTACAACCATTAGTCAGATTTTTAAAAAGTAAATACCTAGGTGCATTGTAGGTTAAATTTTTGAAAACAAAATATAACAAAGAATATCTTAATAGAAGAAAGGTCCAATAAACTACAGTAAACTATTGTACAGTAAAGGAATTCTACAGTTGATTTTTCAATGAACAAAATGGTAAACAGCAAATTATATTAATAATTATTGAAATGGAGAAAATCCTTCAAACTAAAATTCTATTCTGATTGGAAATACCTTCTGCAAATAAAGGCAAAATTGTAAATTTATATAGAAAAGCTGAGAAAATTCATTGGCAGTTTTCTGTCACTAAAAATGGGAAAATAATATTTTAAGAAATTTACAATTCCCTTTAGAAAACAATAATTCTAGAAGGAAACACAGAAATTCAAGGAGAAATAAATAGTACCAGGAAGGGTAAATTATTACTGTCTTAAAAAATAATGATTTGCTATTTAACACAACAGCAACAATGACAATTTCATATAGGACTGAATATATAAGATGACAAAAATAGAAAAAACAACAACAAAGGGTTAATGACATTAAACAGTTTTAAAGTCATTCTATTTTCAAGCAATGAAATTATAATTTAAGGTAGAGTGAAATAAATAATAATATCTACAGTATTTTTTAAATAGAAAAAAGTATAAAAATGTAAAATTTTTAAAAAGTGAATGGAGGACAAAATGAATGAAATTAAATAATTCAAAGAATATGAGAGAGGGGAAAAAAGGAGAAGAAAAGATTAGCCAAATAGCAAATGATATACCTAAATGAAACTATATCAGTAATTAAGATACTTATAAGTGTAGTAAATCAACAAAAGCAAGAGAAATTATAATGTCATTTTAAACTAAACAACAACAAAAATATTAGCTAAGTGGTCACAAGAAACATTTATAAATTAAGAATAAAAAATTAAGAACAATAAAGTTTGAAAGTACAATTATAGAAAACATTATACCACACAAACCATAACCAAAAAGAAATGAAGAAAAAAAAGAAACCTCTGGAATAGCTATAGGAGACAAATTAGACTTTAAGGTATGGAGTATTATTAGAACTATAGACATATATTTCACAATAAAACAATTTTAATCAAGAGAAAGATATCAAAGCCTTCGATCTGTGTGCATCCAATAGCATGGTTTAAAACTGCATCTAAGAAAAATTAAACAGAGGAAAAAAGAGAAATGGAAACATCTAGTATCATCTTGGAAGACTTTAACATCTCTCTCAATAACAGACGAGCAAAAATTCTATAAGGATATAGAAAATTGGAATGGTACAAGGAATAAACTTGAATGAAATTTACATATGTAGAATACTAAACATGCAGCTGCAGAATTTATCTTATTTCAAAGTGAGTAGGAACAGTTATCAAAATCAAATATATACTGTCATTTTAAAGAAATGCTCAAAACGTTTCAAAATATATGCCTACAACTATAATAAAATGACCCAGATATCATTTTCAAAAGACACTAGAAAGACCTCAATTCTTTGATAATTAAAAAAAATCCTGCATATTTTGATGGGTCAAGGGAGAAGCTTTGTTTTCTTTTTCTTTTAATTTGTTTCAAACAAAATTTTAATGATGAAAATATTATATAAATTCATATTTGTACCCATAACAATGAAAATAATAAAAACAACAGCTCCCCCCCCAAAAAAAATCAATGCCAATATCTTCAGCAATATTTTCTTTCTCATTAACTTTAGAAATTACCCAAACCAGTTAAACAATTGTGATGTTTACTAACTTTATGGGAAATACTGCCATCTATTGAATTTTTAGAGCTTGATCCTCCAATATTACATGGCACTAAACCAACTGCAGTCACAAGTGAGTTTACGTTCTTGGCAATTTACTATCATTTAAGTTCTGGAGAAAGTTATGTTAGATTAAGCTAACATAATGATAGCAAATTTCCAAAAACTGAAGCTCACTTGTGGCTGCAGTTGGTGCAATGTAATATTGGAGGATCAAGCCCTAAAGGTTGATTCATTGTGATTATTTGGCATGTGTTATGCTTCTTTCTGTTACTAGATGACTTATCTTACAAGAGCAATCCTCAATACAACAATATAATTCCTTCCATTTAGGATATAGAAGGTTTGTTTTGTAAACTTTCATGTAAGGTATTGAATTTTATATGCATATGGTTTGTGCAGAATAAATAAATGTCAGTGACTTTTTAACCTATCCAAGAATAAGTTATGCAACAACCATAACCCAGAATAAAGTTTTTAAAAACTAGAATAGGAAATGGCAGAATAAAATAGATTACCTTTAATGAAAGAACACACACTAGGGAATTTTATATCTTTAGATGGATGATTTTCTCTAGAAGGAGAAGTACACATCGTTTGTGTACTTTGAGTAGAATTTCAAGCCATAGATGGGCTGATTTGTTTTCTTTCACTATGAGTCCTTTTGTTTTGCTTTGTTTTGTTTGAGTGGCTCCTTTTCCAACACCATGTAGCCCAGAGGTAGGCATCAATTTGAATTAAATAGTAGCTACCCTTGTAGTTGGGCATGCATTATCCAGTCTCTATGCTCCTTTTTCACATTCCTGATACTGACAAGCAGCCTGTTTCCTCCAAGACATTTATCTGACTTGTATCCTAAGCTACTGAGTTTGTAACTCTCTAGAGTAGAGACATTGTAAAGCAAATTACTAGCTCTAATTTACTACCTCTCTAACACTTACTCAAAGCCTATTTACTTCAAGATAAAGGGATAACTAATTACCATGCAATATAACTAGCCTACTCACTTTCTCAAGCATGGTAGATTAAGCATGGAGGAAAAAACACTTTGAGAGAATATTTTTGCAAAATTTGTAGTTAGGGATGTTTATTCAAGTGTCAATTGTAAGAAATATAACTGTCTCAGACAGGTGATGAGAGAAAGAAGTAGAAAGGGCAACTGTAAAAACCTCACATTAAGAGAAACAATTCAACTACTGGATCCATTTGATGACAGGATATGAACTTTATAGAATTTGAGCTGTGTATAGACTTGCGCATGTCATGGTATTTTGTGAATACAAGTCCTTATATTATTTCTTTTCTCCAAGCAGTTTACAATACTTCCCCACTAGGTACATAGCTGTTTAATAAGCTGCAATTTATGGATAAATTAAAGAGCACTTTACTACAAGCTACTTTTGTCATGGTGACACCAAACTGTTGCAAAAGCAGAATTGTTTTGTTCAAATGGAGTGCGAAATAAAGTATCTTTTAAGAAACCCCAAGTGTAAACTTCTGATTGTGTAGTGCCTCCTTTTCAAAACTCTAAGAACACCTTGAAATGCAGCAGGATTTACATCTGTCAGTCATTCTGCCAGAATGTTACTGACTGAAGAAACATAGAATTCATTAGACACAATGAGTTAACTCAGAGAGTATACACTTATTCTGTTTTGTCAGGTAAAGTGATTATTTTCACTGTACACTGATGCTTCAACAATGACACTATTATTGATCAACATAATAAAATTAGGAACAAATATCTCTTTATTATATATCTATATTCATCTATATGAATAATATTCCTTATATCCATCACAATTAAAATTTTCTGTACATCTGCAAAGTCAATCTTAATAAACCTGTAATTTTAATAATTATTTTAGGAAGAAATGGAGAAAAAGAGAGAGTGGGAGATGCTATATTTACTACAAACTAGCATTTACTGAATCCTATGATTTACAACCTGAGTTTTCTGTCTATTAAGGCTACAATATGAATGTACATCTTTAAAATAGTGGTGGTAGAATCTATTTGAAAACAAGATAGGCAAGTTGGTATCCTAAATTATAATAAAGAGTATATTCTGTTGAGTCTGAATTATCGCTTATTATCTTTATCTTCAACTTCAATTGTACCAATCTATGAAATAATAACATTTACCTCATGTATATGCACATTGTTGAACTAAGTGATAACATTGATACAAAAGTTCATCCTAATCTGCAAAATGGTTTAAAATTTAATTATATTTTATGGCTCAATAAAATATGGACTTACCTATGATATATACTTTCTTCATAGAGCAAACGCCACATGAATGCACCAGGTAACATTATCTTATCTCTGGCATCAACATTTTAAAATGATTTTTATTTAACTATGACTATGATTTGCATGTATTTAATAATAATCTTTTAATAATGATGGTTTGACAGAGTATTTAAATTCAACTAATTTACTCACTAAGAATCATTTATCAAATGCTGGGCCCTCACTGGGCTGAACACCTAAGTTCGCAAAACAATTAAGCGTCTTCCTAGAGGATCTCATAAGTGGAAGGGGATCTATGTACCTGCAGAAATTAGTATAACATGAACAAGCACGCAAAAGTGCTGTGCAAGGGGATCTATGTACCTGCAGAAATTAGTATAACATGAACAAGCATGCAAAAGTGCTGTGCAAGAGGGAAAATTAGTATAACACGAACAAGCATGCAAAAGTGCTGTGCAAGAGGGAAAAAAGAGTGAGTAATTCTGCAACAGGAATTAATTGCAAAACTGTTCTAATTCTGCAACAGGAACTTCAGAGAAACTTGTAGCAGGGATTTTAACAAAGGGCCGTGAATAAGGAAAAATTTTAGTTGAAGTAAGGACGTACAAAGTGTTATTATATTTTAGGAGGAGGCAGTATTCCACAGTGTCTAGGCCTGAGGTGTACTGCAAATGCTATTAAGAGACAAGAGATAAAGTTGAGAAAGGCATTTCGCGCTGATTTGAGAAGAGCCTGTATGACGTACCAAAGGATCTAATTTATGACAGTTTTTAGACATCATTTGTAAGAGGAACATAAGAGACAACTCCTCTGTAGGATATTTGTGATTATTAGTGACTGTCGTATAAAATGTTATCTATAGTATCTTCCATTTTTAAAAACTCAAATATATTATAATTATATCCTTTACATTCAGAACATGTCATAAACACCATCTCCCTCCAAACCCACAGGATTCATATTTCTCCTCTCCCCCCAAAATTGCCTACTGAATTATGCTTTCTGTTTTCAAGTCTTATATTTTACTCTGAGACCTCATCTTATCATATTAACTTCAACTTGCTTTTGGATGATGCGTGTGTGTGTGTGTGTGTGTGTGTGTGTGTGTGTGTGCATACATGCATGCATTTGTATACAGCATTTATTCATAACATGAAGAATTTTTTTAAAAAATTCAGTCACAGAATGTATGGAATAATGTTGCATGAAAAGAATGTTCACATCAAAATACCTTTTCAACATCTCCATGAATACTTTAAGAATATACAGATACTTCGCCAAAGGCAAGATGCCATTTTTTAGTACCACCACATCATTTTTAATATTTAACTTGATGCCAAATGAAACTCCAACTCTGAACACATTCCCAATTATTTCCTAGGTTCAGAAGACAATAGCTGGAGTGATTTCATGAGTCTTACATGAAGAAGGGTGATCATATAGTACAAAAACAGAACAATTCCACTTAAGAAAACAGTAACATAACACTGTTCAAGTATTTCATTTTACTTTACATAAAGAGATAATGATAAATTCAAATCATGGAAAACAAATACGTACTTTGAGGAAAGCGTGGTGGGTTGTCATTGACATCGGTTAAGGTGATGTTGACTGTTGTAGATCCTGAAAGCCCTCCAACTTGCCCAGCCATGTCTTTGGCTTGAATGACTACGGAGTAATGTTCTCTGGCTTCTCTGTCCATGTTATGTAAGGCCGTTCTAATAACTCCTGTAATAGATATATTTTAATAAACAGTATGAGCTATATAATAAGCAAGTATCAACAAACATACACATACATATTTTAAGAAATGTCTTTTAAAATAGCATATTTTTGGGATAAAGTCACACGTCTGAGAAAAACAATATCTTACCAATGCATGAATACTGTCTCTTTGAAAAATTTACTTATCCCATGCCCCAAACATCCTATTAAGTAAATTAAGATGTCTATCTCTCTGCATTCCTTAAAGTAGATGGTCCCTCGGCCGGATGCGGTGGCTCACGCCTGTAATCCCAGCACTTTGGGAGGCCAAGGCGGGTGGATCACAAGGTCAGGAGTTTGAGACCAGCTTGACCAGTATGGTGAAACCCCGTCTCTACTAAAAATTAAAAAAAAAAAAATTGGCTGGGCGTGGTGGCGCATGCCTGTAATCCCAGCTACTCATGAGGCTAGGCAGGAGAATCGCTTGAACCCAGAAGACGGAGGTTGCAGTGAGCGGAGATCACGCCACTGCACTCCAGCCTGGGCGACAGAGTGAGACTCCAACTAAAAAAATAATAATAATAATAAGTACATGGTCCCTCAAGGGTAGTCCTGCCACCCTATTCCTAGTGCTAGTGTGCTGAACATTTTACAATTTGAGCTCCTCAGAAGTTTCAACTAAGGTGGTCATATTGATTTAAGCAGAGGCTAATTTTCATCTTTATAGAACAATTTACATAGCTTCCTGGCAGAGTTATCAATGTTTAATGATGGAAAACATTTGAGGAGTTTGGACACTTAAACAGAGATTATAGGCAGGAGGCATATTAACACGTATCAAAGACTAAGAAACTCACTATTTTTGTTAGAAAACAACTTTAAGGAGAACTAGATCTAAGTATTTAGGCAAAATAAAGAAACTGATAAGGTTTATTCTATAAATCATCTGTAAAAAATCACATTTTTTATCTTAGTAGTGCAAAGAGGGACGTTTAACATTTTTGCATGATGAACCCTTGGATTGAATAAAGAAATGAAAAATATTAAATACCCATCTGTGATTACGCATACATAAACACCCACCTCTACATACATAAATTTAATAGCTCTGTTAATAGAGTCTTACGTTTTAAAGTTAAAAACGCATATTCTGGAGGATAAAGTTTACTCAGGGTATATTAACTATGCCATAACATAGAATATTGTCCTCATGTCCATGAGATAGATTATAAACATGTGTATAAATATCTGTATATCTATGTGTATATATGTATTTATATGTCCATCTATATATGCATATAATTATAAAATATAAACATATTTGATCCTTCAAACATAAGTCATTTTTTCATAAATGTATTTTCATTAAAAATATTTGAAGCATGTCATCTTTAATAAATACACCAATGACTTTCAATCAAACTCGCACTTGATTAGTTACAGTACAATTCTTAAGAAGTTGTCAATTATAACTGTTACCTATAGGCTTTACCAAATACTTTTACAGACAATATCTTAATTTATGAGAAGGAGTTATATATTTATGTTAAAAATAGCCTTTAAAAGCAGAAAGGAGTATTCAATGACTTGTTTTGTCATATTTTGAATATAAAAAAGTAAATCACTATTTTCTTTTTTTTCTGAATTGATTGGCTAAGTAATAATGACTTTGAGAGGAGAGCCTCAGGTATCAGAAAAGAAGATCCCATAACTTTCACATATTGTGAACATATAATTGAGGGAATTCAGAAAAATTTTCCTGAAGCTAAATAGAAATGAAAATTATTCTTATCAAAATAAATTATAATAATATTATAATAAATGATTCATCTAACTCATGCATATGAAAAAGCCTCAAGCACCCTTATTAAAAAAACAATGTTTTATCTTACGATAATTACATTAGTAGGAATTGAATTGATACAGAAATGAACAAGCAAAGAACTTATGAAAGAAATTTATATTTTCTACCACTTGAAAAAAGTAAAGCTGTCTTTCCTAAGGAGAATTAATTATAAATAGGACTTGTCTTTGGTGGGGAGAAATATGAGATTATTATCAAAGATAAAGGTTTACAATAAAATCATTAGTGAGTTTTGCAAAATAGATATGTAAAGGTAAAACTAAGTATTATGAAGTGAATGACACATATCTACAACCACTTCCAGGATGAAATGGGAAGAAATTTGCCAGCCAAATTTGCTCATGGATAGAAAAGACCATATCCAAAACGGACACATACTTCTCTGAAAGGATTGTCTCGGGATTAATTTAAAATCACAACTCTTGGCTGGGCGCGGCGGCTCAGGCCTATAATCCCAGCACTTTGAGAGGCCTAGGCAGGCAGATCACGAGGTCAGAAGATTCAGACCATCCTGGCTAACATGGTGAAACCCCGTCTCTACTAAAAATACAAAAAATTAGCTGGGCGTGGTGGCACGAGCCTGTAGTCCCAGCTACTCAGGAGGCTGAGACAAGAGAATTGCTTGAACTTAGGAGGTGGAGGTTGCAGTGAGCCAAGATTGCGCCACTACACTCCAGCCCGGTGACAGAGGGAGACTCCATCTCAAAAAAGAAAAAAAAAAAAAATCATAACGCTCTCTTCAGGATGGCCCAGCTGCATGTGCTTAGCTATGACCCCTCCTAGAGACATATAGATAATCAGAAAGTGTTACAGCCAAATTGCCATAGCAACATGATTTCAGTAAAAGATGATCACTTTCTAACCTGGAACCCAGACGCATTTTCTGGGATCACTTAAAGTACAACTGATACACAGTAACTTCTTATTTCTCCTTTTAAATAGACTATATTTAGAGCAATTTTAGGTCCTTTCACTGTAAAATTGAGCAGAAAGTACAAAGAATTCCCATATACCCTTTACTTCCTCCATGAGCACAGCCTCCCCACTAACAGTATTCCATACCAGAATGGTACATTTGATACTATTGATGAGCCTACATTGACACATCATTACTCTCCGAAGTCCAGATTTTACAACAGGGTTCACACTTGGTGTTGTATATGGTATGGGTTTTGACAACTATGGCAACATTAAACTACTTCATAGTATCAAAAAGAATAGTTTCACTGCTCTAAAAATTGTCTCTTCTCTATCCCTCCCCTCCCTCAACCCCTGGCAACCACGAATCTTTTTACTGTCTCCATAGTTTTGCCTATTTCAAATGTTATGCAATTGGAATCATACAGTTAGCCTTTCAGATTGATTTCTTTTACTTAGTCATATGCATTTAAGATTTCTTCATGTCTTTTCACAGTGTGGTAGCTCATTTCCTTTTAACTCTGACTAATATTCCATTATCTGCATGGACCACAATTTATTTATTTACTCACTTACTGAAGGGCATCTACTTGCTTCCAAGTTTCAGTGATTAGAAAGAAAACTGCATAAACATCTACATATGGGTTTTTGTATAAACACAAATTTTCAACTCATTTGGGTAAACACAAATAAGTGTGGTTTCTGGATTGTATAATGAATTTATCTGAAATTGTGAACAGTGTTGAAATAAGTTAGGGGAAAATGGCAAACATTTATATCTTACCAATATTGTGATAAAAAATTTTTAAATTAAATTCAAGAGTAATTCACAGCCTACGTTCCATTCTCACAATGCTTAGCATAATAGCTGTCTTTTTTTTAACCGAATAAAATATATATTATGAGTAAACACACGCCTACATCCTCACCACACAGATACATACATTGATTCCCCCCCACCCAAATTTTATGCACGAAGCTACATTTGAACATAGTGAAAACATCAAGCAGAATGATCGTTTTAATTAAAAAAATTGGTTAAATGTGAAGCTATACAGGCAAAATGATCATATGCAATGATTTTCTCAGGAAATTTTCAGATTACCTTGTCCTAGCTTAACTATTGCAATGCTCCTTTTCATTTTAAACAGTGTGGCAGTTTGGATGATCAATTATTTTGTCATTCTAACTTTTAGAATATTGTTATTGGTTTTCAAACTTGTGTTTACAATTATCCTGAAGTTTCCTCAATGATCAAATTGCTCATATTTCAGTCCCCAGAAATTTTGATTTAGTAATCTGAAGTGGGACTGGCTTACACACATCTCCAACAGACTATTGCGTTAATCTCTTCAGGCTGCCAGAACAAAATACCATAGGCTGGGTGGTTTTAAAAACAGAGATTTATTTCTCACACTTCCAGAAGCTAGAAAGTCCAAGATCGAGGTACCAGATGATTTTATTCCTGGTGAGGTGTCTCTTCCTGGTTTGCAGATGGCCACCGTCTTACCATGTCCTCACATGGGCTTTCTTCTTTGCAAGCACTGAGAGGAGGATGGGGAATCTCCTTTTTTAAATTTTTTTGAGCCACTATTTTCATCATGAAATGACCTAATCTAAGCCTAACTACATTCCAAAGGCCTCATCTCCAAATACCATCATATTTGGGGTTAGGAATTCAACTTATGAACTCTAGGGAGGTCGGACACAAATATTCAGTTTGATTTGTGTGCAAGTGGTTCAAGACCATATGTTGCTGAATAGGCAACAATTAAAAAGGCAAAGTCCTGCCATTATGTTTCCATGCATTTCTTCACATTTTATCTTCATCATGTCATGCCAACAAATGTATATGTATAGGGATCAAATAGGCACATAATATACAAAATGATGTGCATTTTTCTCAATTGTAAAAGGTAAGCCAATGGATAAAGATAGAATAAACTATATAGACATAGTCCAAGTAAGAAAGTATGTTTTATTTGTTTGGTTGGCCATTTCTGTCATGTATCCATGTATCCAGTATTTGCAAAATAATTTACCCTTGTCTTTGATAAAATCTTACTAAGGGAACACTGTGTAGCCTTTCCATTTAGTACATTTTTAAAGCCAAAAATACAGAGCAGCAAAATTAATTTCCATAAATTACTGCATTGTGCATTTGTTTAAAAATAAAATGCTTCTCTTTTCAATACATCCTAGGTAAATGGTTACGGCATATTCTAAATGTTTGTTGGAAAGGCTTCACTGGCAATGTTTACTTCAAAAATTTTAACTTGAATTGTTGCCTCTTATTCTCTTGTGATGCTGGGTTGAATCAACAAGATGTGATTACCTGTGTATCATTTTGTTTTGTTTCTTATTACTTCCCTGGTAAACAATTGTAGGTGCCCGATTGCCTGCAAATTACCTCTGACTACTGTTTTCCAATCACCTTGATATGTAGGGGCTTGTAATTGGGAATTACTCTCTGCTGTACACAAGTTCATAACATTGAAAATGCATCTGTGATTATAAACATTACTTGTTGAGCTTGAGTCACTAGCCTACCATATGTTTATGCCTCCTGACTAATAATATTCATATAGCAGTAGATCCTCCAAAATGTTTTCTTGCATTTTTACCCACTAAAAAGAATCCAAGATGAAAATGTTGTACACATTTTGTTTATTAGATAATACCACAGAAGACTGCAAAATAAAAATGCCTAACGGGCTAGAACAAATAAACAAGCCTGCACATTTAAATTCTTACAAAAACCTCCAAGGTAGACACACATATTTATGAGAGAAAGTGGTAAGGTTCCTTCTATGTCTAAACTACACATGTGTACTTCTGCTTATTTTTCTTTCTTTTTTTTTTTTGAGACAGAGCCTCACTCTGTCACCCAGACTGGAGTGCAGAGGTGCGATATCTGCTCACTGCAACCTCTGCCTCTCGGGTTCAAGTGATTCCCCTGCGTTCGCTTCCTGAGTAGCTGGGACTACAGGCATGCACCACCATGCCCAGCTATTTTTTGTACTTTTAGTAGAATTGGGGTTTCACCATGTTGGCCAGGCTGGTCTTGAACACCTGGCCTCAAATGATCCACCCACTTTGGCCTCCCGAAGTGCTGGGATTACAGGCACGAGCCACCGTGCCTGGCCTACTTTTGGTTCTTTTTCTTAATTTGTTCAGTTTTTCATTTATTCATTTAACATCTATTATTTTACAGAAAATGGGTAGGACTCCCAGTGTTTCTCCAATGGGACATGTGGACCACTTAATAACTAAATCATGTAAAGTGCTCATTATCGTGCAAATCTACTCACATCTTCGACCTACTGAATTAGAATCCAGGGCAGTGGGTCCCAGGCATAAGTTTTGTGACAAGTTGCCCCAGAGATTCTTGTGAATGTACAAATTTGAAATATCTATCTATTTACCCACATATGGTACCTGGCCTTAAGGTTCTCATATTTCATTGGAGGATCTGCTTATGCAAATTAATATGAGTACTAAGAGATTTCGATATATGTAAAAGTTTCATTAACCATTTTCTAAATGAAGGCACTAAACATCTTGGCAGCAGTAAGTCTTCTCTTCAACTGCCTGATTATGGTGATTTAGGTACCTATAAAATTCTTTATGTTATCTACACAATTTATATTTAAGTATTTTAATATTTAGTATATTATATGCTATATATATTACACATTCTGAATTTTCCCAAACGATTTTATGAAGATAATGCATCTTCCATAAATTCTTGTCTGTATAGAAAACAAAAATAATCAGACATTTAACGGATGCATATCCATCAGCAGCATAATCCAGAAATCTGTTTTCTTCATTCATCATTGGCAATTCGAAGTGTGCTGAATGTGTTTCTACTCTGTATAAAATGTGGGATATAAACACATATAAGATACAACTTACGAAGTTGAAATGCTATGATTAGAATGTTCAATGATATGGAAACAGATATGCAAATCTGTACAGTAATACAGAAAACATTTTAATAAACACAAAACACAGACTTCAGAGACCATAGTGATCACAATGGAAGCATATGAATGAAGAGTACCTGTGGGGGAAGGCCATGTTTGTAGGCTGTGAATTGCATGGAGAAAGCAGGGTATTCATGGAAAGGGCACTTGACATGAACCCAGGCTTGGGGTCTGGAATATGCATGGCAATATTGGACAGTGCACAAATTTAGCTTCAGTGGAAAGTGTTAGTGAGACAATGGCAGAGATTAGGTACTCAGTGATTAAAATACACCTTACATTTAAAGGTTAATTTTAATTTTTACAAACATTCAATATTTTGTTTCTCAAGTGGCTGAAAGTTTAAATAATTCTACTGCTGCCCTTGTGGAAAGTCAAGATTGACCAAACTTCCCTATTTGTCAGTCACTGTTACGGCTGCGGTTTAGCCAGGGTATGGTTGTCTCTATCTCTACTGGTAAATTTAGCACATTTGTGACTCCAAGCTTCCAGTGGGTGATGGATTAAAACCTCAGATTTTATTTTACTTATAAAGAAAAATATATATGAAATTATATTAGACACTGGCATCTTAAAATTTCTTCTAAAACACAAGCTACTTAGCTGCAAGCTTGATGGATTAAAACCTCAGATTTTATTTTACTTATAAAGAAAAATATATAAGAAATTATATGAGACACTGGCATCTTAAAATTTCTCCTAAAACACAAGCTACTTAGCTGCAAGCTATGACTCATGGAATTAGCAATCATAAATTCATAGAGGTAGACATTTTTATGCTTTAGTAGGAAGATTCAATACTTCTCTATATGTTTTTTCTCTTCCTACCATGAAAATTGATGGTGAAGTAGTTTATTTCTGCTGAGGAGAAAAGGAAGGATAATTCACATGTTTTCTGTAGAGAATGTGAATTAAGAATTCCTTAAGGGAATTCCTTTAGGGTATATACGTCGTGTATTTATTTCCACACACTCTATTAGAATGTGAAAAGAAAAGCTCGAAATGTCAATAACTCCTCTCAGATCACAAGATTACCAATCTGGAAAATTTGAAATCATACCCGGGATTTCCTGACACAAAAATCTTCATGCCACAGTGGCATTAGCTCAAGGAATTTAGCCCTTGTAACTTGCAGAGTTTATAGGACAGAGTTGGTGTATTTTGAGAGGGAGAGATAGAGAGAAAAGAGAAATAAAGAGGAGGAGAATAAGGAGGAAATGAAGAAGCAGAATGAGAGAGGGGGGACATGATCATAAAAGTGGTCACTATCTAAGAATTTGAAAATATACATCAGGCAGATGTAGTTATTTTAATACATCACTAAAGATGTTTCAAACTTAGAATGCTTTTTTTTATTTTTGCTTGCATTTTATTTCTGTTATTAGTATTCAATGTGATCTGTGTTTTCAAAAGCTCTGTCTTTCTTGCTGATATATTTAATAATCATACTGATAAAATCATAGGGCTGCCCAGGGATTCTGCAAAGGGCTACTCTTCTCCAGATTGCCAAACCTTCAGCACAACTACTCCATTCAGCAAAATGGAATTTACTAACAAATTTAGATAATTTACTAAGAGCATAACAGATGCTCCTTGACTTACGATGGAGTTGCATCATAATAAACCCATTACAGAGCTGAAAAATGGTAAGATGAACTATCATGGGTAAGAGACTATCTAAATATGGCAAAAAAGAAAATTAAACTGTAGACTTTCACAATAGGTTTACCTGTGAGTAAATATCATTAGATAGCACAGGAAAGTATCACTTTTCTGCTTAAAGAGGTGTAATTTGCCACTCCCTCTTGATATGAAACTCATTGCACATAGTCAGAAGCCCTGTGGTTTAGCCTAAACAAGAACCCAGGTTTTTTTTTTTTTTTTGGATGTAGAAATTGATGTTTCTGGATCATAAGGCAGTTCTATTTCTTAATATTGTGTTGAATTCCTATGCCGTTTCATTCCCACCAACAGTATGGCTCTCCAACCTCATCAACACCTGTCTTGTTTTTTGATGATAGCCATCCTAGCTAGTATGAGGTGATATCTCCTTGTGGTTTGGATTTATATTCTTCTGATGACTAGTGTTGTTGATTATCTTTTTATATACCTGTTGTCCACATCCAATAGAATTATAATCGGGATCTCATAGAGATACCTGCACTCCTATGTTCACTGCTGCATGAACCTCAAAGACATTATGTAATGTAAAATAAGCCAGTAACAGAACAAATACTGCATGATCTTACTTATATGAGGAATCTGAAAATGTCAAACTCACAGTGTCAAGAATAGAATAAATGGTGGTTTTCCAGGGGCTGAGTGAGAGGGAAATGAGTTGTTGCTGTTTAATGTGTATAAAGATTTAGATGTGCAAGATGAATAAGTTCTAAAGGCTGTACAACACTGTGCCTACAGTTAATGATACTGTATCGGACACTTAAAAATTGTTTAAAAGGTAGTTCTCATTAAGTGCCATTACCACAATTAAAAAACAAAATAAAATAAAACAGTAAATAATGCAGCCAGTAACTATATATTGAATGGGACATTATTTTTTGTGCTCTTAGTCACATCCTTCTGCTTTCCAGAGTTGATGGAGCATATAGAATTCTGTTGCCATGTGTGCATTCATGAAATCATTCACACATTTGTCTTAATAATTGTTGTTTCTGGATGAAAAAATAAGAAAGAAACAGCTATGGGATCCTGCTTCAAATATTTCTCTACTGTTGGCCAACAGACCCTCAAATAGACTTTGAAAGGATGTCTGTACCTTGGCAATGTGATTTCAGAAGCAGCCTCTCCTGGCCAGGTTAGATTCTAACAGCATTGGAATCAAAGGTCCGCATTGTAGGGAATTTCCTTCAAGAGATGGCAGAAACATGGTAAGTAAACTCGGGTTACTGAAAGTTCTGATGCCAACTGCTCAGGATACAGTCTTTTGTATAACAGAAAAAAGAGTGAGAACTGGAAAAATAAGGTCCATCTTGTTTCAAGTGGCCATTAGCCCTTAGGATCTTCTCTCTGTAGAGAACCAACTATCAATGCTACTATCGCTACCATTTAGAGAAAATGATCTTGGCTTGAGGGATTAACGAAGCCTCCTATAAATTCTTTGACAATAGTCCCATCAGTCATCTGGGTCTATTTGCCTTCTCCTTAAATTTGTGCTGGCCTGTGACTGCTTTAATCAAGGCAGTACAATGAAAGTGACATTAGCAGTTTTTGCTCTGTTCTTGAGGGGTTTAGAAGCTGCTGCCTTGATCTCTTTAGCCTGTGAGCTTTCTGGTAAGTGATCTAGCTAGATTGTTAATGACACCATGTAGAGAGGCTCTGCAATCACATGGAGAAAGTGAGGCATCCAGCTGGGCCTAGTCTCCTAGCTGTTCCTACTAAGGCACTAGGCATCTCACTGCACCCATCCTTGAACTTCCCTGGACCCATCCTTGAACCTCCACACAAGTTGATATGTCAGATGGATGCTTTACCCAGTATTCCAAACCAACGTCATACGGATTAAGAAATTGCCTAGACAATCCCTGCTAAATTTCCTGGCTTCCAAAATTCTTGTTTTGAAAGCTCTCCATAGTAGTTTGATTTACCCCAAAGGAAAACCAGTTATGTTTGGTTTTCTAGATCAATTGCTAAGACCATTAAATCATACTATATATTGTGTACCTACCATGTCCTCTTGCCTTCCTCTCTTTCTGCCTCTCTTCCTCTCACTGTCTCTCTCCAGAAATGGAGTGCATGACATATAGAGAAACAAACATAACTCACAAATGGAATATTTCAGCTATGGTCCATTGTAAGCATATTTCATGAGTTCAGGTATATGTTGTATTTAGAGGATAAGCAAGTGAAGGAAAATGAACCTGACCTCCAAATAATTGCTGTTTAGTCAACACATAGAACACGACTTCCTGTAATTAATGAATAGTTATAAAGAATTTTAGCATCAGGAAACTTACACTCTATGGGGAGTATTGAGATTATCTATGCTATTTATGGGATACTATTAATCAAGAAAATTAGAAAGATAACTAAAAACATTTAAATATCCTATACAAGTTATATTTCATTTCTAGATTTAGTTAAGTATGATTTCCCAAAATAGCTTATTCATGTGGCTTATAAAAAATTTGTGTGCTCAAATTGCAAACCCATATGAGAAATATTATCATATAGACATATGATGCTTATTTATTCATTGGCATATTTTTATCTTATTCTGCTTTTTTTTGGTTTTTGCTTTGATGGTTTAAATGAGTTCAAAAGATGAGATGCTTTATGTAGATTTTTTTAGTCACAGTTACTATTAGAGAAAGGGTATTTAATATGAATGTCACAAAAACACTTGGAATACGTGTTGTTGAGACAACTATATTTAGAGTCATATAATTTTAAATATATTAAAACACTACTATATAAGTATATACATATATCAATGACCATCTAGTTCCATTAGTAATGATATAATTGACAACATAGGTCCATAAGTAACTGAACATTGATGATTTCTCCTGCATTACCAATTTAGTTATTGTGACATCTGGTTTCCTAATTTATAAAAAATGATTTATTTCTCTTTTATATCATGATTTAATTTATAATGCATTATGTCACACTCCATTATTATTATTATTATTATTATTATTATTATTATTATTATTGAGATGGAGTTTCACTCTTGTTCCCCCAGCTAGAGTGCAGTGGCGCCATCTTGGCTCACTGCAAACTCTGTCTGCTGGGTGCAAGTGATTCTCCTGTCTCAGTCTCCCGAGTAGTTGGGATTGCGGGCGTGCACCACCATGCCCAGCTAATTTTGTATTTTTAGTAGAGACTGGGCTTTGCCATGTTGGCCAGGCTGGTCTTGAACTCCTGATCTCAGGTGATCTGCCTGCCTCAGCCTCCCAAAGTGCTGGGATTACAGGTGTGAGCCACCACCCTGGCTGCCATACTCATTAATCTAAAAAGACATGGCCACTTTCCAGCAAGTTGGCTGTCATGTTAGGCATGCTATATGTATATACAATATATGAATATTATTAAAGCATGCCTACATATCATATACATGTTATTTATGTCACATGTAGCAAATATGCAGCACTGAAGTAAACACATATATCTGATTCCTAAAATTATTAAGATTTCAGAGATATGTATATGCTTTTTTCCTTTAGCATATAGTTTTAAGTAGAGTCCAGAATTGGGCCAAAGTAGCCAGAACTTTATACACCCTCCTTCATTCTGTCACTGGATGAGTGCTGTCCTGGAAATGGTGCCACTTCAGGAAAGGTTGAGATAGTTCTGAAGGAGCTGACAGCTGGAAGTGTGCTGCTGAATGCACTCCCCATGCTGGAGAGCAAGTTTTTCCCTAAAGGAAGCTCAGGACCACACGTCTCTATGTCTACCAGACAGCAAACCTGCTTTGTTCCCCTTAATCTCTAGTACAAGCCCTTCCGATGTTGATTAAGGTTGCATGCTACACTGAAAATACTAAGGATAGAGGTTAAGCAAGTGTGAGATCATGAAGAGTGGCCTTGGATTCCTTTATCCTGAGAGCTGTAAACAGTTATTCATTCCTTCAATTGGTAGCTATAGAATGCCCTCTTGAATCCAGGCACTGTTCTAGGTGGAGAAAATTGCTGCCCTTGTAACGGTGGCATTCTAGGAAGGGCAGATTAGTGAAAAAAAAAAAAAGATAATTAAATCATACATAATAATACCATATATAGCAGATTAGTTGTGGTTAATGCTCTTATTTTCTGTGGTTCTCATGTTGCCACATCCAACAGGTAATTGCTGTCCTCATACCACCCTCAGTAATACTGGCCCCAGGCAATTATGCCTATCCTTCTGAGAGATTATTTCCTTGTCTTTCTCAATTCTACTGCCTTGTTTTGTATTGCCATTACATTAATTTCTTATTTTCATGCAAATTTAATTCTTGTTTTTGACAAATTATTTGTTTTTTTTTTCCCCACTAGAACAAAAGCTCTACAAGACCAAGGATCTTTGTTTACTGTGTTTTCATTGCTGTGCCCTCATTGCCTAAAACAATCTGCAAATCATATTGTCCTCAAATACCACAAACTGAGTGATTACAAAAAAAAAGCAAAAAAGTATTGTTGCACTGTTCTGGAATCTAGAAGTCTGAAATCAAGGTGTTGGCAGGGTTGCTTTCTTCTTGGGGCAGTATGGGATTGCTCGGTCCCAAGCCTCTCTCCCTGGCTTATCATTGGCTGTTTTCCTACTCACGTGGACTTTTCCCCATATGTTCAAATCATCTTTCCTTTGTGTGTATCTCTATGTTCAAATTTCCTTTTTTCATAAGGCACCAATCATAATGGATTATGGCCCACTGAGACAGCCAGATGGGAGGGGGTCCCTGGCAAAACTCCAACTGGCCTGTGCACTGGGGTAGAGCCACAGAAGTTCACCCCATTTGCAGCAGGGAGGAGAAGCCTGGCCCCTCCTTTTCCTGGGTGGAACTTGGGATTCAAACAACGAGGCAGAAAGCACTCTAGCAAGGACTCAGGCCTTGAAGAGAGTCCCTTTTCCCCCCTTTTCTTCCTTTTCACTCAATAAAGCCTTGTGTTACTCACCCTTAAAAGCATCTGCCAGCCTAAACTTTCAAGGCTGTGGGACAAGGACCTGTCTTTAGCTGAACTAAGGAAAAGCCCTGTAACACCACAGCATGTCACTTTAACTTGATGATTTCTGTAAAACCCATAACTCCAAAGAAGGTCACATTCTGAGTTACTGGGGGCTAGGGCTTCAATATACGACTTTTTCATGGGGAGAGGACACCACTCAAGCGACAACACTAAAGCAAAATAACAAATAGCACCAAGAAAAAAATAAAAACATATTGACTGTGTAAATTTGTTCTTTGAGCCCATATTAAAGATATTAGTTAAGCAAAATCACAAGTGTTGACTTGACCAAAAAGGGCCTGAAGTCACTCAAGAAGAGCACACAAGATGTGAAAAACAGATGTGCGAAAGAACACAACGCCAGAGAAAACATGGAGATGGAGAAAGACTTTTGTGTGGGTTCCCTAAGGATAGAGGTTAACCAAGTGTGAGATCATGAAGAGTGGCCTTGGATTCCTTTATCCTGAGCACTATAAACAGTTATTCATTCCTTCAATTGGGATAGAGGTTAAGCAAGTGTGAGATCATGAAGAGTGGCCTTGGATTCCTTTATTCTGAGAACTATAAACAGTTATTAATTCCTTCAGTTGGTAGCTATAGAGTGCCCTCTTGAATCCAGGCACTATTCTAGGTGGAGAAAATTGCTGCCCTCACAACACTGACATTCTAGGAAAGGCAGATTAGTGAAAAAAAAAAAGATAATTAAATCATACCTAATAATACCATATATAGCAGATTAGTTGTTGTTAATTGCTGAGGAAAATTAAACATTTAGTTTGGGCTTATGGTTTTAACTAGGACTATAATAGTGATATGCTGGAATTAGCTAGTTCTGGGTCACAAGTGCTGATTATTATGCTTTCAAAAATTTCGAGAGCTGGCTCATAGATATAATTATAATTAAACATTAAATTATATAAACTTAAAAGTTCCCTTTCACTTTAAAAAGTAATAAATATTGAAAACTCACTACTTTCAAATTGTGTTACTATATTTTACCATTATCTATAATTTTGATGTTATTTATGTCTACTTTATCTGTATGGTGTAAATATTATAGAACAATGTGTTCATCTTTTCTCAACTCCATGTTCAATCGTGTCACCTTGGTAACTTGAAAATCAGTGGCAGTGGATGTATTGATCTGGTGATTGTCTAGACTTGAGAAAGTAAAGGAGAAAACAACTAAAGCAGTTTAAACCCCAAAGTAACCATTACATTGCAAGGAACACAAAACATTGAAGAAATAGTATCCTAAATAATAAAAATGATTTTTAGCTTAGCAAAATGCAGCTCATATTGATGAACAAGTGAAATTGAGACGAACATCATTTATCTACACATTTACGTAAGTAAAAATATTAGCCAATACCTAAGCCAGAACAAAACTTACTTGCCAATGAACTGAGCAACTTCTTTGCTGAATCAGATAGTAATCAAGCATTTATTTGCAATAAAATATTATCAGTATTCAACAGATTGCAACAACTGATTGGTTATGGATGCAAGAGTTCAGTAAAAATCAATGTAAATATTCTGTAAAAATCAATTGACTATGTGGAATTTCCAATCAAGAGTAATATATATTCTATAATTGCTTGTAAATTGTGTGCTACATATCTTTTATATCTGTAAAATTTATATAAACATACACTTATATACATGCATACATATTTCTGGTTGTTAAATATTTACTGGCATGCCACTGACTGCTAGCAATAAACAGGCTTACTTAAAAGAAGTGATAGAGAGGTCTAGGCAAAAAAGAATCATATGCACAAATGCCCTAATGTGGGTGCTTTCTAGGCTATTTCAGGTACATTCATGGGACCAGAATATCTAAGGTAAAAGTAACAGAAAGAACCAGTGATGATATCAGAATGATGATGATGGGCCAGGTAATTAAGAGCAGGCACATCACTATCATGCTGTTAGCTTTGTTTGTAAGTAAGATGGGAAGCCATTGGCAAGTTTTGAGCAGAGGAGTGATGATATGGTTTGGTGCTGTCTCCACCCAAATCTCATTTTGAACTGTAGCTCCCATAATTCCCACGTGTTGTGGGAGGGACCTGGTGGGAGATACTTGAATCATGGTGGTGGTTTCTCCCATACTGTTCTTATGTAGTGACTAAGTCTCACGAGATCTGATAGTTTTATAAGGGGTTTCCTCTTTCGCTTGATTCTCATTCTCTCTTGTCTGTTGCCAGGTAAGACATGCCTTTTGCCTGCCACCATGATTGTGGGGGCTCCTCAGCCACGTGAAACTGTGAGTCCATTAAGTCTCTTATTCTTTATAAATTGCACAGTCTTGGGTATGTCTTTGCCAGCAGTGTGAAAACAGACTAATACAAGTGACATGATTTTATATATTTTAACATGATTGTTTTGAAAGTTGCTTTGGGAATAAATTGTGTGGAACAATGATAGAATTAAGGAGATAGGTTAAAAGAGAAATGAAATAAAGTTAGTTAAAATAGAAGTGAGGAGATGTGGTGAAGTCCTGGATATATGTTGACGGTAGGGTTTCCTGATGTCATAGTCATGTGGTGTGAAAGGAAAACAGGAATGAAGGATGATCCAAAGTGTTTGACCTAGAATACAGAAAACTGTGAGATGAACTGTTTGTGGGGAGGTGGTTGGAAATCAGGAGTTCAATTTTGGATCTACTCTGAGATTATGTCTCAGAGACTCAAGCAGACATATTCAGCTGGCATAACATACACTGGTTTTTAGAGGAGCAAGCTAAAATAGTAATATAAATATGACCAGCATAAAGATACTACTTAAAGCCCTTAACCTTATGAAATTAGCATAGAAATGAGTATGTATAGAAAGAGGCTCAAATACTGGATACTGACACATAAGATTGAGAGAAAAGGTAAAAGCAAAAGATGCCCACTGATCATTCAGAAAGAAAAAAAAAAAACTAAGAGGGTGTGGCATTCTAGAAACCAACCAGTATTTCAAGGGATAGAAATTGTTCCCTTGCGATAAATGCTGTTGCTAAGTAAAGTATGATATGGCCTGAGCAGTGTGAGGAATGGAGTCAGAGACATCATAATGAGAACTGTGGCAGTCTGCCCTAAATTTAATAGTGGATATGAAATGAAGAAAATGTTACGTTAAGTGAATTTTTAAGCATAAGAAGACTGGTTGGAAGTAGAGGATGAGGAAAAGGGAGTGATTCTAATGACACTCAGGTATTTGGCTTAAGTATCTGAGTCAGTGGGGAAACCTCTACAAGATGAGAAGTATCAGGTAAAGATCAGTGAAGAGAGTGTTAATTTGGGATATTTTGACTTTCATGTGCTTAAGAGAGGTATCTATGTGAAAGTCTGATGGAAAGTTGAACACCTGACACTCTACAGAAAGGTCTGGGCTGGTGAGTCAAGACAATAATGATAACTATGAACAAAAAAGATGAAAATGAACTCATTCTTGCCCAACATAATGAAGAAAGGGCCACTTATTACAGTTAATGGTCTAAATTGCTCCCTCTTGAATCTTCATTCCCTGAATCATATACTAAAAAATTACCAATCAGGCTGCAAGAGTTATCTTTTTAAAGAGGCAAGTGAGATAAAAGTCAATCTATCTAATCTTAATGAATATAAAACAATCAAAGACTGGATATTTCGACTGCATATATTACTTTGTCTGTTTATATAAATATGTCTATTGGTTGAACAAATTAGCTGAATTACTCCTTTAGGTTATCAAGGTATACTTCAAATTTAATCAGATAGCACAATAAGAGGTTGACTATATAAATTTTTTTCAACCAAATTTGAAAGACTTTTCACACTATATAGGGATCATTTACATATAATTAGAAAAATAGACAACATATCACAAAAGTGAAGAAAAAAATTTGTAGAAGAAAATTAATTTAAAAGAGTAGGAGGACATAGATTTTTTATTTTTATTTATTTATTTATTTTTTTGAAACAGAGTCTCACTCCATCGTACAGGCTGGAGTGCAACAGTGCGATCTTGGCTCACTGCAACCTCCACCTCCCGGGTTCAAGCAATTCTCCTGCCTCAGCCTCCCAAGTAGCTGGGATTACAGGTGCCCTTCACCATGACCGGCTAATTTGTTTTTTTAATTTTTAGTAGAGACAGGGTTTCTCCATGTTAGCCAGCCTGGTCTTGAACTCCTCACCTCAGGTGATCCACCAGCCTCGGCCTCCCAAAGTGCTGGGAATACAGGTGTGAGCCACTGTGCCTGGCCAGGATGTAGATTTTTTAAATTTTTTATTCAGTTATTGATTTAAGATATCCATCCTTATCCCCCTTGGCTACTCATTCATTAGTTATCAATGTGGCCCTTCCTTTGTTAATCTATATCCTATGTGAACTAATATCTGATATATAAAACATTTGCTATGGTAGCTTTGTATTCTTAATATTTCAACATTTCCTGAAGTTACAAATGGAATAATGGGTTTAGCAAGGATCCATTGGGGTGTGTGTGTGTGTGTGTGTTGTTTTGGTTTTGCTGCTAAGAAGGCTTGTATTTTGTCAGGTGGTCCATGATACTAGAGTTTGGAAGTGGCTACTATCTAATTCTCAGGCCAAGGCCTTGCTTCGCCCACTCACTAGTCATTCAATATTTTTCTATCTTATTTCTTAGTAGGGGGATCTAGCAGGAAGTAATAGAAGTAGGCACCTAAGGCAGCCTATAAAGTAAGTAAAGCAAAGGCTGCATTAAAGAAAGTAACATAATGCAGACTGAATAGAATGAACGGGTCCCCTAGATGTATTTGGAAATTTGCAAAGAGTTATTTAAAATTTGAAGAATGAGCTCTATTAGAAAACAGGGGAAGAACCCGACAGGATTATAGAGCAAGACCTGAACTAGAAAGGGAATTAACATGGCAAATAATGGCTAAGGAAGAAGGGCTAAATGAGGCATTGATTTAGTTATATAGAGACTGTTTTTCTCTTAAAATAAAACCAGAAATTGTATCACTTTTGTTGATTTAGCACCTTTCACTGCTTATTTTAATGCTCTTCAATCTTAGGGTTCCAGAGAACCTATAAATGTCTTTTCACTGACTCAAGCACCATTTATCAAAGTTATTGCATGATCTCACCAAGCAGGAGTTTAGGCATCTTCCTCTGTGCTATTTCCCTTTCAGAGATAATTCTAAAGGGAATTAACTAAAGAGAGAGCACCACATTTGAGTACAAGTCGATCATAAGCCTGAAATATTTCACGCATATGAATAATTGAGAAGATGTAACAAATGCAAATTTTTACATATTCTCAGTTAAAATGGAAGCAGTGGCACAATATAAGTGAAACATAATGCTTTTCCATTTTGATCCCTTGTTTTGGCATTTGAGAATCAAGCTGACTCTCGATTTGTCAATTTTTTCTTTGATCATGTATTAAACTGTAGCAATGTATTTACTTAAGTCCTACGTTTAAGAAATATATTTTTATTTCTTAATCTTTCTATTAAGGTATCTTTGGCAAGGTCACTTAACCAAACAGTTGGCAAATTCTGAAGCGATTTTCAAGTTACAGGCTTGGTCAAGAAGCTTTACTATATTCCACAAAAAAAAATACTTAAAACTTTATTGAAAGACTTATGAAGTCTGTTAAAAATCCTAAAATTAATTTATAAAAATTAAAGACAAGATAATAATGTAATTTTGAACTACGGGAAGATATTAACCATCACCCAATAACTACATTTAAAATCACTGAAAGGTAGTATCACATCTTATCCTATCATTGGCATTTATATGTGTAATGAACTATTTAAAAATATCTATTTCCTTTATTATTTGGAAGGATTTCTGTCTCTTTTACTTGGCAATTCCACTTTTTTTGGTCATTAATTGCATGTTTTAGCCATTTTTTTCTAGGTTATATCTGTAGACTAATTTCATAAATGATTTATTTCGGTCATACAGTATAGTTGAGGGTTTAGAGTAGTAGAGCCAATTGTCTGCAATGAAACCTTGGTTCCACCATTTCCTTACATAATTTTCCTCCACTCTATATGAAAACACCTAATAATTCATATTTATATGATCAATGTGACATTACATTAGTCAGTTTATGAAAACATTTTCCAGCAGTGTATACCACATGGTAAAAGCCCAGTATAATTATCATCTGCTTTAAAAAAATAAAGAGTACTTTCTGTTTTTTAATTTTGTTCAGAAATGGACATATTTTCTCCAAAGCAGACATATAAGTCTGAAACTTCACAATTCCTGAACCGTTCTCTGATTTGTATTCCTTCCTCGCCCCCAGTCAGTGAATTCAGAATGGTGAGCTATTTGTTTTGTTCACCCTAGCGTTAGCAATATCATTATTTGTATTAATAGTTCTAGAAATGTGTCTTTTTTGTTTACAATTCCAACTGGATGCATTTATAACCACATTTTTCACAGGTTGACTACTCCACACTTTCTTACCCAAATGTACAGTTATTTTGCCTTAATTCTTTCCGGGTTTCTTCTGGCTGATGATTCTAAAGTTTTCATGTCATTGTTATTTCCAAACACAGGGCTATCTCTTTTTTTCTTGAATATTTTCCTAAAATCCTAACTATATTATCAAACCCTTATTACCTGTTATCATGAGTGTCACCCATTTATCTCTAAGGTATGCGCATAATTATGAATACCTTCCATGTACCAGGTAATATGTTAAAGTGCTTTTTGCAAATATTTCATTTAATTATCCTGTGATCCATATTATGAGTTACAAACACCTGGGATTATAGAACACTTAAAAGCTTACTCATGTTCTATCTTTCCTCTTTAACTGGGCACTGTGGTTCAGGTGAAGAAACTGGTTTTATTTGTGCCCCCTCTGTGTTCTACAGGTGCTTCCTCTTCCACTGAAGCATCACCCCATGCTCTTGTTTGTATACTCCAACTAGCTGCTGTTTTGCATCAGCTGGCTGCAAAGATCGTTTTCAGACTCTTGGAGGAGGTCACTAATTAGAAAATACAGTGTGGTGGTGTGAGTAGTGGCCAACGTAGTGTGCTCATTCACACTGCATTAACTGGCCTTCAGCGTGCTTATTTAGTCCCTTGTCGTATTCAGAGAAAATGTTTGAAAATTCCTATACATACTGATTTCTGTGATGCTTCTTTCTTCTCTAGTGGATTTACTACGTAGTGTCTTCAACTTTTACACTTCATTCTTGCTATGGAACGGAATTTAATAATGATACAGATATCAGCATAATCTGTACCTGTCCACAAATATTAAATACAGCTTATTTCTCCCAATTGCATTTTGCATGCTAAAAGGACAAAATTCCAACAAATTAGAAATCACCAAAATAATTCACTTACTTCATTTAATGAAGTCATTAATTCAGTGAACGTTGATTGCATTATCAAGTGTTAAGTGCTCAGAATACAAATAAGTACAGAAAACAGTTCCCAAATGGATATTCTCACCGATGGCATGGTGTTACATTTTTATATTATATAACTATATTAATTCAAAAGAAATTATTACAAACATTTCTTTATAAAATTATTTTGACCATGAGGCATAGTGGGGTGGGGAGGGAAGGGGAAGTGTCTCTCCTACTTCATGTTTAAATTACTTTTCTGGCTACCGAAACTTGTTTTTGATTTGTTTTCATTTTTTTTTAATTGAGACAGGGTCTCTCTCTCTCACCCAGGCTGGAGTGCAGTGGTGCAATCTCAGCTCACTGCAACCTCTGCCTCCCAGGCTCAAGCGATCCTCCCACCTCAGCCTCCAAGAAAGCTAGGACCACAGGTGCGCACTACCATACCCACCTAATTTTTTAGTATTTTCAGTAGAGAAGGGGTTTCATCATGTTGCCCAGGCTGGCCTCGAACTCCTGAGCTCAAGGGATCCACCCCTCTCAGTCTTCCAAAGTGCTAGGATTACAAGTATTAGCCACCATTCCTGGCCACTGCCAAACCTTGTAGGCCCTGGTAGAAATGGTTGAGAAGATTCTGGGTGTAATGATATCACTTTAGTAACTTCTTACTTGTACTTTGGAAACATTGGCCATCTAATATCCAACTAATGGGAATTTGCTAGTGATCAAATTCAAGAGAAATCCCTTTTCCCCAAAATAAGCTTGTGGTGGCATGTAGAAATTGAATTGAAAACCTATTTTTGTCTCATCTAATATTACATGAAGCTATGTTTGCAGAATTGTTTTAACTGTGTGAAAGAAAATGCTTGTAAATAATTATATTTTGATGAATAACAACGTTGTTATTTACTAAAGTCAGATGATGCTTTCTTTTCTTTTTATTTCCCCACCAGATAACTAGGTTGTATTGAAAATATTTAATGATTAAAAACATGAGCTCTACAGAGTGATAGGGTCCAAATCCTCTTCTCACTGGATTAACTCTATGGCGTTATGGAAATTACTTCCCTACGACTCAATTTCTTCCTTTAGAAAAATGTGGGTCATGAGTTCTCATTTGGTCGTAAGGCTATTATAAAGATTAAATAATGTAGTATATGCAAAGCACATAAAAAACTGCCTAGAGAAGCACAAGTAACATCATAAGCAAAAGTTAGCATTTTTCTTATTGTTTTATGTTATCATGTGCCCAGATGACTAAATAATATAATCAGCTTAGCAAGAAATATTCTCCCAAAGAATGTATTTGGATAGGCTGGGTGCAGTGGCTCATGCATGTAATCCCAGCACTTTGGGAGCCTGAGGGTGGGTGGATCACCTGAGGTTGGGAGTTCGAGACCACCTTGACCAAAATGGAGAAACTCTGTCTCTACTAAAAATACAAAATTAGCCTGGCGTGGTGGCACATGCCTGTAATCCCAGCTACTTGGGAGGCTGAGGCAGGAGAATTGCTTGAACCCGGGAGGCGGAGGTTGCAATGAGCAGAGATCACACCATTGCACTCCAGCCTGGGCAGTAAGAGCTAAACTGCATCTCAAAAAAAAAAAAAAAGAAAGAAAAAAAAGAATGTATTTGGTGGGTGCTCATAATTTTTATAGTGGTTTAAAGCTTACCAAATTTCCTAACATAACCTTATTTTCAATTCAAAATACTCCTGTGAGGTGATATAACACAATGTTTACACATTATTACTAATTTACTCATGAGAACAAAGACAAAGAAAATCAAATACTAATCTAGAATAGCTAATAAGTGCTTAGTGATTTTCCTCTGTCTATTGATGCTAGTTTTGCTTTTTCAATAGAAAGAATATGTATACCATGTTCCTTACATGGATTAGAAAATCCATCTAATCACAGTTGCCTGTAGGAGTACTTTATATCTTACTACTGGGAACCTTTTTGACATAGATACATCAGATATGCTTACTGATGTTTGATTACTATGGAGTGCTTCAATTACATTAAACAAAATGTACATACAAAAATACATATGGAAACTCTAAAAGTCATCTTCTCATAGTTTAATTATCATGCCAAAATTGTTACCATTTTTACCAGAACCATTCTGGCAGATCAGAAGTGAGAGATGGTTGTTTTGTAAACCCTTGATGACAAAGTCATCTTTGGTAGTTGCACTGGATGGTTGGAAACATGTAGCAATTTGTAGGGAAAAATGATTAATAAGTGATTGAGGTAAGTGACTACACTGTATTTTGACCAAAACAAACAAACAAACAAACAAAGAGTATAAATTCTTAGAATGCAGACTATATGTTATTTCTCTACATATCATCTATCTACCTACTCATCTGACTAGGTATCCATTTATATATTTTACTTTCTTTAGTTACAAACTGTTTCTAAACATAATTTTGAAAGGAGAGTTCAATGATATGTTTAACAAGTTTAACATGGTTGTTCAGGATCATATTATCCAAAGTAACTGCACTGCCATGTAAGCATCATTGGATGTGTTTTGGCAGAAGAAAAAGGAGACATTCCTGTTAATTTTTCTTCAACATGTATATTTATTATAGGTTATGGCAGTCAAGAAAATGTTGTTGAAAGTAAAGAAAAATTTCGTCTTAGTAAAGTGCCGATGAATTGTGAAATACTACCCATAAACCACTATTTGCTGAAATAGACTTGGCTCAATCAATGATTTTCAGTTATTAAGTTAAAAAGCCCTCCCCTGATATTTATATAGTCTAATTAAGTTAGGACAATAAATGATACAGAAAAAGGACTATAAACTAAATTTGCAAGTATACCTAGTTTTGGAATTTAATACATATTAATTACACTTCTTTTTATTATTTTATTTTTTCAATTGACACAAAATTGTATGTATTAATCATGTACAGTATGATGTTTTGAAGGATATATGCAAAGTGGTATGGCTACCTCTACATAATTAACATATATATTACACCACATAGTTATCCTGTTTTAATGGTTAAAAAAAACATGCATCAAAACGTTTTTTCCAACCAAAAATACATGACATAGTTTTATTCAAATAATCTTGTGGCTAAAATGTTGTACTTTATTTTCAATTGTTTGTAAATATTCAGTTCATATAATCTATTTTGAGTGTAAAAAATAATGTGTTTAAGGTTTAACTTTTGATTGTTTACCTTTTAAAATTTTGACTCTTAATTTTTATATATACTGCTACCTCTAATCTCCAACATTTATTATCAATATAAATTAAATCCAAAGTATTTTCATTTATAAAGATAAAAAATATTTATATAATTTTTTGATATCACTATGGTCACTAAAAATAAATAACTGTACTCTATACATTCTTTATGTCTTCCATATTCCATCAGAATTTTCTCATGCTATGTTCACAGTTTCTTACAAGTTAGCAAAAAAAAAATGCCTTTGGATGTTAAGAATGAAAATAAAACAAGCTGAAATCAGGATAAGATATATTCTTTGTCACATCTCTAATCCTGTTGGCATTTTGCAACAGTTTTCTTTTGTAACTTATTTACATAACAATGGATTTACCTTTTATAAGTGGTTTGATTCTTCTCTTTAAGCGAGAAATGACAGAATACTGTCTCCTCTCAAGCAAAACTGAGAGAAAAAAATTGAATCCAAACTATCTGTGCCTTTCCTCTAATGCAGTTTTACTCCTCAGGGAAAAATTAAACTAGTGCTTTTGGAAATCTATATATCGCAGGTAGATTTCTGTTTTTTTGTTTTCCTTTTTCTTTCTCTTTCTTTCTTTCTTTCTTTTTCTTTCTTTCTTTCTTCCTTCCTTTTTTCCTTCTTTCTTTCTTCTGATTTTTAATTTATAAATTATAATTGCATATATTTATTGCACAGAGTATGTTGTTTTGAATTATGCATACACTGTGGAATGGTTAAATTGAAGTAATTAATATATGCATTTACCTCACCAGGTGGATTGTTTAGAATTGGACACTCTAATATCACGGCTGCCATGCCAACTCGACTCTCTATTTAATATCACACATTTCCTTGTTCTGGTCCCTACACTACTGATTCCTATTTCTACTTCTAATTGCACCTTTTATTTCGCAGCAGTTACGCCTGACAAATATTCTATCTTTGGCCAAAAGCTATTTAAGCTCTCCTGAACTCTCCTTTAAACTAGCCAATGATTTTGGGCTTTATGTTTGTCTCTGCATTTCCCAGTTTTAGCAAGAATCCTGCTAAGTCAATTTCGCTCGAATCCTCTGTCGTCAATACCTAATCACCCTTACTGTCTCACTGGGTTCCTCGTCACCAATCACCAGTCAATGTCTGCTTATCCCGGCCTGCCTGTAGCAAGAAACTTCACCTTCTCTTGATGTCTCCTATTAGTAATTTTCCATCCAGTGACCTCTTGCTTTTCCTCACCCAACTCCTTGGATATAAATTCCCAATTTTCTTTGTGGTATTCAGACTTGACCCTAATCTCACTCCTAAGCTGCACCCAAAACCCAATGCAATGGTTTCTACATCTATCATGACGATCCTGAATAAAATCTGTGTACCATGCTTTAATAAGTGTCATAAATATTTTCTATCATCGCCTTCTAACATTCTCTATAATTCTTTTTGTATTATCTTTCTATTATTTATTGCCCATCTTCTCTTCACAACTTCTGACAGCTAGAATGTAAGCCAGGTGTTTGTGAATATTGGTTTGTTTCGTTTGTTAACAAAACCCAAATACCTTATATGAATGCTTATTCATATTAATACATAACAAGTCGACAGTAAACATTTGTTAAATGAAAGAATAACTGAATAAAATACAAGATGATCATTAATGTTGCATACAGCCTAATAGAAGTACCATATTTTCTCTAAAATTTCTAGAATTACGACAGTGAGACTATAACTATCAAAGTCAGACCTCAATCCTCACCAGAGGATATTAAACAGACATTTTAAAATCTGCACTTTCTTAAGGCTTTCCTGCCGTAAGTGCATACCATCTAATAGAACCACAACTCCTAATGTTATGCAGTAAATATGGATTATTCGTTAGTTTTCTCCTCTTTTCCCATGTTATGTGGAAAGAAATTCCACCTCATCCTATCTTCCATAAATATTGAAGTCAAGGTGGTAGTTAGATGAAGAGCAAATGTTTCTTTAATGTGTTTAAGTCTTTACTAAGTTTTTTTTTTCTTTTTTTTTTAATGAGCTGCATAAGTTAAAACAGTTCCTGGATGAGCATGAGGTGGTATCAGCAAGTGGAACAGTAGGAGGTTCCTGCCTTCCCCCCCCGCGCCCCACATAAAAAAATTATCCAGCCATCCATGAATGAAAACTATTTCTGGATAGCTCAGGAGTTCAGTTAAAAAGCTGCAGCAACACAGTAAAGAAAAAAGACTAATTATATTAAAAGGATAGGATAAGGAGTTCCATTTTGCCCGCATCATCCCATCACACAGCTCAATGCAAAGAGGGATTTCCCAGCCCACGAGTTTCCTTTTCAATAACAAGGGGAGCAGTCAACAATTAGTTTCTTCAGACTTTTTGGGCAATATTCAAAGGACCTGCTTTCATCCCACCCCTCCCAGATCGCTGGGAAGTTTTTTGTTGCTGTTTTTTTTTTTTTTTTTTTTTTTTTTTGTTTGTTTTTTCTTTTTTGAGACAGTCTCACTCTGTCTCCCAGGCTGGAGTGCAGTGGCGCGATCTCGGCTCACTGCAAGCTCCGCCTCCTGGGCTCACGCCATTCTCCTGGCTCAGCTTCCCTAGCAGCTGGGACTACAGGCACCCGCCACCATGCCTGGCTAATTTTTTGTATTTTTAGTAGAGACGGGGTTTCACCGTGTTAGCCAGGATGGTCTCTATCTCCTAATCTCGTGATCTGCCTGCCTCGGCCTCCCAAATACTGGGATTACAGGCGTGAGCCACCGCGCCCGGCCTGATGGCTGGGAAGTTTAACATAGTAAGGAAGTGCGAAGATGGCTAGAAACAAAGAGGAAGAGTAGAGGTTATTAGTAGCAGCCACTGGGTGGATGCCCTAACAGCCTGCTCTACAGAACACCCAAGCAATCTTTGCTATTAAAGACATCAAGAGCCATAGCTGTCCCAAACATTCTAGAAAGGGAAGTACCCCTGCATCTTTTGAGAAAAGGAACTGATGCTCCATCACTATGGGACAAAGCGACTACACCCTTGTCCCTCCCACAACCACTTGCATGCTGGGATCTCAGAGGCACAGTCTCTCCATGAGCAACTGCACCTAAAATACTGGTGCCACTTCTTCAGAGAGCACACAAGTGCTATAAACATCAGAGCCACTGCCACAACAAATAGCCCTGTGCTCCAGCCATTTGCTCCACAGACACATGCCCCTTGCGTGCTACAGCCGTGACTGCAACAGGCATGCTGACATATCACATCCTATTGCAATCTTTCCATAATGCTGCATATCAGCATTGCAATCAAATTGTACAATGCCAAGGACAAAGGTATAATTTTGAAAGCAGCAAGAGAAAAGCAATTCATCACATACAAGGGAATTACCATAAGGCTATCAATGTCGTTCTCAACAGAAATCTTGCAAGCCAGGAGAAAGTGAGATAATATATGCAAAATACTGAAAGAGAAAATCTACCATTCAACATACTATACCCAGAGAAATTATCTTTTAAATGGAGAGAAATAAAGACTCTTTGAGACAAACAGAAATTGAGGTAGTTTATCACTACTAGATCTGTCTTATGAGAAATGCTTCAGGTAGTTCTTCAAGTTGTAACTAAAACATAAACATATGAAATAATATGAAAACAAACATTTTACTGGTGTGGCTAAATATACAGTCATATGCAGACTAATGTAGCACTGTAATAGGGGTCCATAATTTCCTTTAAAAACTAATCATTAAAATATAAAAATCTATTAATAGATACACAATATAGAAAGCATCAAATTCTGATTACAAGGGTATTATATGTGGGTGAGGAGTAAGTGTAATGATTTGGTATACGATTGAAATTAAGTTTTCATCAACTTAAAATAGAAGATATTTTATGTAAGACTCAAGCTAATCACAAAGATAAAACCTATAATCAATTCAAAAACAGATAAAGAGAAAAGAATCAAAGTAAGCCACTATAAGAAATCATCAAATAGCAAAGGAATACGGCAAGACAATAAGAAAACAGAAATAACCAGAAATATGTGGAAACTAAACAGCATTCTTTTGAACAACTATTCGGTTAAAATGAAGTCAAAATGAAATTTAGAGAATATTTCCAGACAAACAAAGATAAAATCAAACTGTATCGAAACTTTTGGGATACAGCAAAAGCAGTCCCAAGAAGACAGTTTAAAGCAGTTAAAGCCCATATTAGAAAAGATGAAATATTTCAAATAAACAGTATAACATTAAGCCTCAAGAAACTAGAGAGAGTAAAACGAAACCAACTAAGCCTAAAGTTGGCAGAATAAAAAAAATATAAGGATTATAACTAAATCAGCTGGAGAGAAAAAATAGACCAAATCATCAGAACTAAATTAGTTTTGTGAAAGATAATATTGACAAACCCTTAGCTGGAATGAGAAAAAAAGAAAGATGGCTCAAATAAATAAAATCAGTAATAAAAAAGGAGATGCTACAATGGATGCCTCAGAAATGAAGGGGATCAAAAAGCATCCTTTTTATGGTTATTGTGCACAATTATAGGCCAGCAAACTGGATAATCCAGAAGAAATGAAAAAATTTCTAGAAATACATACAACTTACCGAATCTAAATTTTTCAAAAAAAAAAAAAAAGCCAGAATTGATCAATAACAAATGAGGAAATTGAATTTTTAAAAAGCCCAACAAACAAAAGCTCAGGACCAGGTATCTTCATGGTTATATTCCACCAAACATTTAAAGAAGGATTAATATCAATCATTCTTAAACTTGTCCAAAAATAACAGAAGAAATAGGAACACCTCTAAACTCATTCCATAAGGCCTGAATCACCCTGATACCAAAATCACACAAAGGCACTGCTTGAAATGAAAATGATTGGTCAATATTCTTGAAGAACATAGATGCAAACGTCTTTAATAAAATGCTATAAAAAGTAATTTAACAGCACATTAAAAGGGTCATACACCATGACCACGTGAGATTTATCAATTGGTTTGCAAGAATCGTTTAACATATGTAATACAACAAATTAACAAAATGAAAAAGAACTATATGATCATCTCAATAGATGCAGAAAATGGATTTGACAAAATTTAGCATTTATTAATCAGTAAAATTCTCTCAACAAAATAGGTATAGAAAGAAGCTTTCTCAACACAATTATGGTCATATATGAAAAGCCCACAGCTAAAATCATAATTTATGGAAAAAATTGAAATCTTTCTAAGATCCAGTATAGAGCTAGGATATCCACTCTCATTATTTCTTTTCAACTTAGTACTTGAAGTCCTAGCCAGTACAATTCAACAAGAAAAAAATAAAATAAAATAAAAGGTACCCAAATTGGAAAGAAAAATTAGCTTTATTTGAAGAAAATACCTTTATTTTCAGGTCCTCTGCATATATGTAGAGGTACTAAACAACAACAACAACAAAAAAACCTGTTGGAAATAATAAATCTAGTAAATTTGCAGGATCCCAAATCAGTACATCAAAATAATTTGTGTTGCTATACAAAAACAATGAATTATTTGAAAAAGAAATGGAAGAGACAATATTCACAAAAACAAAAAGAATAAAATACTTTGGAATAAACTTGAAGAGGCAAAATATTTGTACACTGAAAATTAAAAACATTGATGAAGGAAATTAAATAGATAGATAAATGGAAAGACAGCATATACCCACGGATTAGAAGAATCAACACTGCTGCAATGTCCATGCAACCCAAAGTGGTCTACAGATTCAATGTAATCCCCATCAAAATCCCAATGACTTTCTTTATGGAAATAGAAAAAAAAATCCTAAAATTCATCTGAAACTGCCAATACCCTAATATCCAAAGCAATCTTGAGTAAGAAGAACAAAGGTGGAACTAACATGCTCTCTGATTTCAAAATATATTTCAAAGCTACAGTAATCAAAACACCATAATACTTAAACAAAAACAGATATACAAACCAATGGAACTGAATAGAGAGCTAATAAAGAAATTCAGTGATCTACGGCTATCTGATCTTTAAAAAGGATGCAAAGAAAATACAGGGAAATTATAATCTCTTTGAAAAATAGTGTTGGGAAAACTGGACATTCCATGCAGAATAATTTAAATGGACCCTTATTCTCACTATTTACAAACGTCTACCCAAAATGGATTAAAGATTTAAAGGTGAGACCTGAAACTGTAACAGTACTAGAAAAAAAAGATAGGGGGAAGGCTTCTTGCTATTTGTCCAGGCAATAATTTTTTTGGATAATTACCCCAAAGACACAGGCAACAAAAGCAAAATAGGTAAATATAGTTCCATCAAATTAACAATTTGCTGCAAATAAAACAATAAAGAGAATGAAATGACAACTTAGGGAATGTGAGAAAATATCTGCAAACTATATATCTGATAAAAGGTTAATATCCAAAATATATACAGAACTCACACCTAAATAGCAAAAAAACAACAAAGATATAAACAAATATATAATTAGCTGAATTAAAAACAAGTAAAGATTTGCAGACATTTCTCAAAAGAAGAGAAATTGCTACCAGATTAATATAAAGGTACTTAATTTCATTAATCATCAGAAAAATGAAAATCAAGACCACAAAGAGATATTACTTTAGCCCTCTTAGAATGGCCAGTCACTGTCACAAAATAAATGATAATTATTGGCGAGGTGATGGAGAAAGTGAAACCCTTGTACACTATTGGTGGGAATGTAAATTGGCACAGAAATTATGAAAAACAATATGAAGGTTTCTCAGACATGTAAAAATAGAACTGCCGTATGATCCAGCAGTTTCAGTTCTGGATAAATCCAATGGAAATGAAATCAATATTTTGAGAAGATAACTATAGTCCCATGTTCATTGTAGCGTAATTCACAATCGCTAAGATAAAGAAACCATCTAAATATCTATTGATAGATCAATAAAGAAAACGTGGTTTATTTATGCAATGAAGTGTTATTCACCCTTTAAAAGAAGGAAATCTGCCACTTCCAATAACGTGGATGTACTTAGAGGACAGTATGCTAGGTGAAATAAGCTAGATGCAGAAAGACAAGTACTGCATAATTCCACATACATGTGGAATCTAAAAATGTCAAGCTCACACATTCAGAGTAGAATGACGGTTACTAGTGGCTGTTCACAGGTAGGTTGGGAGTGATATGGGAAGATGTTGGTCAAGGGCTACAAAGTCTTAGTTATGCAAAATAAATTAGTTCTGGAGATCTAATGTGCAACAATGTGACTATAGCTAAAATGTTGGATACTCAAAATTTGATAAGATGATAGATCTTCAGTGTTATCAACACACACAAACACAAACACAAAAGGTAACTTTCACATGATGAATAAGTTAGTTTGATCGTGATAAATATTTCACAATGTATACATACATCAAATTATCAAGTTTATACCTTAAATATATCCAGTTTTTAATTTTTCAATATACCTCTTTAATAAAGTTAAGGGAAAACATACATAGTGCCTCTCCTTCTCACTTCACTGATGAGGAACAATTAACTAGTTATATTCCCTATTTGGGTCTAAATTTAATTTTGAGCAAGAGATTTTTAGCTGTGGCTTTTGGAAAAGAGGATAAATTAAGCAAACCACTTACTTAGAACCCAACTGAATTGACCAAATTAATGTTGTAATAAGAGAAAAATCTACTCAGCATTGTAGCTGAGTAGAAGTTATCCAAGCAGCATAAGCTTCCAGTAGTTTATCAAGGAAGCTAGAAAAACAAATAATAGAAAAGTTCCTAGGGCTAAAGTGTGAATTACTTCCTAATACTGTGGTCTGTGTCGCAAGAAGCATATAGATCCCATCATGGTTTGATTTCACCCCGCCAAAAAAAAATGAGTAAGGGATTAATATATGAAAGCAATGTGTTCAAAACCTGTTTCTTGTGGTGTGTATCTAAGTCATTCTGAAGCACCCATGTCTGAAAGCCTAGAGCTAGCAAAGCAACAGTGAATGGAATGTAGATAATTCTGGGAACAGTTGTTCCTTCCCCTTGTACAGTGGAGCTCTTTCTGACAATGTGGGTCATAGCTAGAAAGAAGTTTTGATATAATTATACTAAGAAAGTTGTGACAGACTAGTTACTTAAATGCATATTCTCCATATATGGATCCTAAAAAAAAATTGAACAGGATGTTTGTTTTCTGTGCTGGGGCTTGGTATGACCCGTGAAGCATCTGCACCTCTCTCAGGCTGCTGAACCTCTGAAATGGTAATGCCAGGTTACATCAAAGCAGGTTGCAACTTCTGATGTGGGCAAAGAATCCCAAAAGATTTCAGATGGATAATGTGCAACCCCAAGGAGAAGACATCAGCACATCTGAGACAAGCTCAGGCTCGCCAACCATACTGGCTAAAGGTGCATTCCCTGAAAAGAGAATGCCCAGGTTTTTCCAGGGACTTTCACTTAATCCTATGTGATTGTGATTAAATTCCTTTTTCTCCTTGTCTTTCACCTTTCTGCTCTGCAAAATAAGAGAATAGCAATGCCTTCATAGTATTATGGAGAAGATGAAATGAGATGATACATCAAAAATGCTTAGAATAGAGGTTGCATGTGGTAACTACTCAATAAATGTTATCCAATACTGCTGTTGCTTTCAAAGCTGTAACTAATGGGTTTTATGAAGACAAAAAATGGAGTAGGAGATATGTAGTTGATTCAGTTTGAATATTATGTGCAGTTATAGGAAAAGACATTTAATAAAAGGTAGTATTTATCAGAGAATGAGGGGAAGGAATGAGCCATATGCTTATGTAAAGAAAGCCTTCCAGGCAGTAGTGAAAGTCAAAGCAAACTGCAAAGCTAGAGGGAACTAGTGGAGTCCAAGAACCTTAGGAGCGAATGTGGCTGGAGTGGAATGGATGGGAGGTAAAGTAACGGGAGAGCAGAGAGGTAGAGAGGGCTAAATAACGGATAGTCTGTAGGCTCTGGCTATTGACTTCCATTCTGCATGAAGCATTGGGTGGTTCGTGGTAGTGGAGGTAGAAGAGGTCTTATCCTGTATAGGCTAAGCTGTTTTGTAAAGAGTAGTGATTTATTTCTTGCTTATATCATATATTTTTGAGCTTTGGTCAGCTGCAATTTCACTTTCTGTGTCATTTCATTCTGGAATCAGTGCTGAATAAGCACGTCCTAAGGCAGAAAGGAAACACAAGAAAGATGGATAAAATTTGCTGGGAAGTGACTCATGCGACTGCCATTAACATCTCATTACCCTAGAAGCCATAATGCCAACGCTATCGATGAGGTGAGAAAGTGAACTTTCTCCTGAAAATCTTAAAGTAGCAGGTATACAGATACATTTACTTTATAAAAAGGAAGAAGTAGATGAATAGAAATAATATCATCTATTAACATTACTGTGATTGTGAACATTTTACAAAGATCCTTCTGTTGTTGTTTTGCGAAGAATACAATATATGGAAGCAAGAAAAGAATAAATAGAAGAAAACGACAAATGATGACATGGAGATCTTCAATGTGAGGCCATCATGTCTCTACCTAAGACAGCAGAAATAGAGGTGAAAATAAAGTAATTAGATTCAGGATGTATAATATGTTGAAGGAAAAGTTGAGAAGGTTTATTGGTGAACTGGTTGTAAAGTGAGGAGAGAAATAAAAATGTCAGGAATGGCTTGTTTGTTTATCTTTATTTTTTGACCTGAGCAATTACAGCACTTACCGAGATGGGTAAGACTGGGATGCAGATAAACACACAGCCTACGTGAGAAAAAAGTGCATTTAAAAAAAATACAACATTCATCAATAAACTTAAATTATTATTATTACTATTTTTGAGATGGAGTCTCTCTCACTCTGTCACCCAGGCTGGAGTGCAGTGGTGTGATCTCGGCTCACTGCAACCTCCACCTCCTGGGTTCAAGAGATTCTCCTGCCTCAGCCTCCTGAGTAGCTGGGACTACAGGCACGTACCACCATGCCCAGCTAATTTTTGTATTTTTAGCAGAGATGGGGTTTCACCATATTGGCTAGGCTGGTCTCAAACTCCTGACCTCGTCGTGATCCACCTGCCTTGACCTCCCAAAGTGCTGGGATTATAGGTGTGAGCCACCACGCCCGGCCTTAAATTAATTTAATAAAAAATTAGAAGTAAGATACTACAGAATCAACACTGAAAAATCTAAATGGAATAAAGGATGTATGAAAAATACTGAAGTTTTCTTCTGGAGAATAGTAAAGAAAGCAGGAATGAGAGAGCAATGCTAATACAGGGGATGGATTTCAGTATCTTATAAATGACAACAAAGTATTAAAAAATAAAATACAACATGCAATGGTCAAAGATAGAAGAAGGGATAGAAGAGAAAAAGATGGATGAGGATAAGGTGGAGAAGGAAACTTTCTCACTGAAAAATAATGACCGTTCAGATTTTAAAATGCTGTTAATTGGAAGGGAGAACCATAATGGAAGGAAATAGCACTGAAACACATTGTTGCATTTTTTTAAATTGCAAAGTTAATCATAGATTTTAGCATATTTAAAACTCACCAGTCTGGGAAAGAACTATGAGTTCATAAGATAAAGATGCAGGAGTTATGGTCTTTACTGACTTAAGGTTAAAAAAATAAAAGTAGACATCCCTAACGTAAGGGCAAGAAATGCAAAATTTTGGATCCCTTCTGGTATTAGAAAATAATGTAATTTAAAGATGCCTATTGTAAGGCCGGGTGCAGTGACTCACGCCTACAATCCCAGCACTTTGGTAGGCCGAAGCAGGCGGATCACGAGGTCAAGAGATTGAGACCATCCTGGCCAACATGATGAAACCCCGTCTCTACTAAAAATAACAACAAAAAAAAAATTAGCTGAGCATGGTGGCACAGAACTGTAGTCCCAGCTACTCAGGAGGCTGAGGCAGGAGAATCACTTGAACCCGGGAGGTAGAGGTTGCAGTGAGCCAAGATCATGCCATTGTACTCCAGCCCAGGTGACAGAGCGAGACTCCATCAAAAAAAAAAAAAAAAAAAAAAAAAAAAAAAAGATGCCTATTGTAGTGGACTCTGGAGGCTAGCAACAAGCACATAGAGACATAGAGGCAATTTAAAAGCAGTAATGTCATCTCTGCTCCCTGTGGAGCTTACACAGGAACCACATCCAGTAGAATCAGAGGGTCATTGTGTCTGAAAACCTAGATCAGCTCTGCCCTGCAGCAAATTGATCACTTCATACTCACCCTGCGTTTGTATTCTCTTTTATTCATTATGCATACACCCTAGAGGAGACTGAAGGTGGAATAGAGGAGGTGTCCACCAATTATTTTGAAAACCCTACTTTCATTTGTCAGTAGGAGAAAAATTGAGAAAATCAATAGAGAAACAATTCATATTAGATAGTTTAGGTCTGTCTTGGTAATCAAAAATATTTGAAATCCAAAAATACTTGAAAATAGAGCTATGTAGGCAGAAAAAAAATAAAAATGTGATTTGTTTTCAAGACAATTGAAGGCAGAACTGTCAAACTTACCATTGAGGTGAAGTCTTAGATTCTACAACCATATCGAAGCATATTTCAGCCTTGGACTTTCAGTTAATGTTTCAGTTATAAAGAGAAGCAGGCTGGGTGCAATGGCTCAGACCTGTAATCCCAGAACTTTGGGAGGCTGAGGCAGATGGATCACTTTAGGTCGGTAGTTCGAGACCAGCCTGGCCAACATGTTGAAAAACCGTCTCTACTAAAAATACAAAACTTAGCCTGATGTGGTGGCGCCCAGCTTTAATCCCAGCTACTTGAGAGGCTGAGGCAGGAGAATCACAGGATCCCAAAAGGCGGAGGCTACAGTGAGCCGAGATCATGCCACTGCACTCCAGCCTGGGCAACAGAGCACAATTTGGTCTCAATAAATAAATAAATAAAATAATAATAATAAAGGGAGGCAGTCAGATTAGATGATCTAGAATGTCTCCTAAGTAGTTGCATATCAGTGATCAATTTTTATGTTTTGTTTTATTGTTTTCAAATTCAACTTTTGAAACAAATATCAGGGTCTGCCTAATTAATTCTATCTCTTTTTTTTGTCTTTTACCTCTTAGCTATTCTATTGATGTTCACAGCTTTTTTGTACATGAAATCTCTTTGTCTTTGATGCTGAATTATTTATAATCAGGTGTTGATTTCCATTCAGTCATTTTAACAATGAATCAAAAAAGCTTAGCTTCGAACCAATATTATAATACTTTTATTTTTATGACCCCAAATATCCTCTTTCTCACTCTTACTCTTCACACAGTACATTAAATTTTGTATATGGAGAGGTTTTTTTTTTCATGCAGAGTTAGACAAAAATGACATTTATATATTTATTTAATGTAATGAAGCTATTTGCTTTATTTTGTGACTCTGGTTGTATATTCTTGATAGGCTCCATATTTCCCTTCCTCTCCCAGGAAGGATAGTTTTATGGCAGAAGCTATTTCTCATCCATCCCTGCTAATTTCTGTAACTCACAATTTTCTTAAGATATTTCAGGTAAGGAGGAAAGAAATCGACATGGTAGAGGAATCTAAAAATCAATTGCTCAGGCCTAACCATTTTAGAAATCCATGTAATAATAAAGATTAATATTAAACCAGCTTCTCACAAATCTTGAGATATCCATACAGAAATGCCTGTGCTCTTTAATATATTTGCAATTGTAGAACAGAAATAGTCTTTGAATGCCAATAAACTCAATAGTATTTGTTTGTCCCTTAAGTGAAGGAACTAGTCTAACATGAGATGTCATCTTACATACTCCCCTTTAAACATAAGAAGCAAAATATATACAAGTTAAAGATATGTGTTCAGCTTCAGTCCAGTCTCTATCATTCTGAGATCTCAATATTTGGCTTCATGTGGGTTAAATATTTGGAAGATTTTTTCTACCTTTGCATCTATTTAAGAAATATCCAAAAATATTTACTGATATGTAAATATTTCCTGTTCTTATTTACAGCTTTTAACCAATTGACTTATGTCTTTGAATTCTAGCTGAGGTAAAAGGCATCAAAACAAGTGGTTTTCCCTTCACAACTACTAATACCTGCAATAGACACTTTAAAAAGGAATAAAATGGTCAATATATCAAGGTAAAATATTGGGTTTCAATGCCCACAGTTCTTCTAAAATTCTCATCAAAAAGGTCTCATCATAAAAAATAGGCTTTTGAAAAAATGGTATTTTATTACATTATATATTATATGATAAAGTCCAACATTAAATGGCTACCTTTTTTTTCCTAAAACTTCCAGGGTTCTTATATATATGTATTTGTTATTTCACCTAACTTTTTTTCTACAGAATGGGTCAAGGAATTTTAGAATTTTTATGCTTTCTTGTGGACATATTGAGTAATGGTGGATGACTGTGAGTCAATACTGTTTTCTCATCTCATCAAACTATATGTCAAAGACACACATGCTTGAATGATTGACAACTGGTACTGACTTATGGCTCAAATTTTAAAAAATTTTACTTTTTGCAATTGGAATTTTTGCTATTAACTCCATTGCCATATATAACAATATACTAATATAATTTTCAATACTTACTGTACACACATATGCAATATGATATGTATGATATGAAGCAATGTGAAAAATGAAGGAACACAAAAGCTGCCTCTTGATGGTGGGAGCAAAAGCATCATAAAATGTTTAATTAAGGTTGCTTTCTATGTAGTACACTTTGGAAGAAATCCCTCTTTCCCAAAACATTGGGCTTAAAATTTCCTATCTCCATAAAAGAAAAATACAGATACAATAGACAGATAAAGCACTAATATTAGAAATATAAATAACCACAACAGTCACTTTTGTTAACTAATAATTTTGGTCAAAACATTTTTAAATTCGTATTGTAGATTCACAGCTTTCTGTACAAATTGATAGGGCTCAATAAATAAGACAAATTGAAAAGCAAAAGCTAATATTAATAATAGGAACCAAATTTCCTCCCTACATTGTCTGAGCTAATGGAGATAAAGAGAAAATAAAGAGGACACTCACACTTGGAAAAATCTGTTGGATTTCCACAACAAGCAAGCGAAGCATATTTTCTCATGCCAATCCCTGTACAGGTGTATTTTGTGACATGACATTGAGTACCATATACCATACTGCCATGAAAGAGATAATAGGGGTCCTAGTCACAAGGATCTTTCATTCAATTAGGGGAAAATTAAACGTATTTCCACATCTTTTCTAAGAAGCCTTATATGGGAGTAATCACAAATGTACTAGGGAAGAATAATGACAGAATTAGCTCTTTTCAGATGGTTTTACACAAACTATATAAATTACAATGCATTAAATTCTCATTTCAAGACAAAATATATTTTAATTTTGTTCCAGTTCTAGTATAGAACTTATCTTAAAATTATCATATTAAAATGGTTGAACTTATGATAATTATTACTATCAATATGCTTTATGCTAAAAGTAGACAAAAAAGAGTACATTTAGTAAGCTAAAAATACATGAGCATATTATATGTCAACTGCTTTGTTTTAATATATTTTTCTAGCATACCTAATAATAGTTTAGTAAATTAGCCTCAGTCTACAATCAAAGACGATGTGTGTGTTATTTCTCAAACAAGTTATTATGGACTCATAGGTTCAAGTTTTTTAGGAAATCACTCTTTATGTAACCACTGTTTTACATGATCTCTTCAGTATGTGCTTCCTAAATGTGTCTGAGAAGAATAAATAAAATAAATTTAAAAATTTCAGAAAATATTGTAGAAATAAAATTGCTAGAAAAAAATCTCTGGATTTAAAAAAATGTGTTCAACAGAATTGCTTGTCAAAGACATTTCTTCATAGGTAGTTCAATACGTAGTTCTGAAACATTATTAAAGATATCATAACATAAACCTGGCCTTCCAGATCTTCAAGATCAGCCAATAACTGGTTAGAGGTCAGCATACCCTATCAGTATCAAAAGCATAACAACTCAAATTCTGTCAAAGAAGACGTTAAGGGAGACAGATAAAAGTTTAATCAGAGACAGTATTTCATCTAAAAGACATCCCAAACTGGAAATTATTTGGTAATCTCATTGAAACTATAAGATAAAATTTTCCTTGCTTCCCTAATTCACCATGAAAAGGCCCTTGAGAACACTCAGAAACTAAGCTAAAAGTATTAACCTGCATTTCTGTTTTCATTTGAAGGGATAAATGTCTATGATAAGCAGGTATAGTAAAAACAATAATTATCAGTCTAAATAATCATTTTTTGAAAACTAGAATTTAACTGCAAAAACTTAAGAATCAGAAATAGGGTTCACTCTCAGTCTTACTTTTTATTAGCTCTGTGAATTTACTTAACCTCTCAGAATAGCAGTTTCCTCATTTAGAAAATAAAAGAAAAATATACCATATATACATATTAACACTTGTAAGTTTCTTTGCAAGGATACAAAACATATCCAGGCTTAAGTAAATGATTAACGATTCATAGCTATTAATGCTATTCATGTTACTACTAACATTTTATGTAATTTTTATACAGTTAAGTAGAACAGCCTTTTTAATATTTACACTTTATCATTAATGTTATTACTTAAATTTTTTTCTTTTTAATATAATTATTATATTCACATGTTTAAACTAAATGATTAAAATGTGATATTCTTTAGAAGTCATATTTTTCTGGGAATTTTTATGTTATTAGGTGTGTCTAATTTATTATTATTTTTTACTATTGCTATGACAGACCTAGTGCTATGAGAGAAATTAGCAAGAGGATAACATAGCAAAATAGGAGGATTTAGCTCAGCATGATGGTTTTAAAAAGCTAAGGAAGTCACTAGGAGAAATCAGAGGTTACCTTCTCGATTTCAAAGGAAAAACAGACATTTGCCAGGCCAAAAAATAATGGGGAAGGAGTCAGCTAGTAGAACTGCTATATTCTATTGATATGTGCAGACATGATATTTATGAGGAATATTAGAGCAAAAAGAGTTTTTTTTAAAAAAAAGAATTTAAGAATGTGGATACATCATCCTGAAAAGTAGGTAAGAAGACTAATCACAAAAATCAATGCTGCAAAACAGTTGGCCTATATTCTGAAAGTGTTGGGGTTGGGTGGTGAGGAGGTGACGATTGGCGTTTATAAAGAAAAAATGAAACAACTGAACTCTGAATTCTCAAAACACCAGTCTGGAGGAATTGTGGAGTACAGATTGCAGAACCCTGAGACCACAAGAAACAGAACTAGGCATGATGCTAAGAGAGGCATCAGAAACGGCAAACAGGGGGCAAACTATGCCTATAATTAAGATTATAAATAAACGTTTTCTTTAAATTTAGAAAAATGATGCATTCATTTACAAGGACAGCTCTTAGATATTGAAATGGCTTCATATTGGAGGGTAAAAAAATCTTTGCAGGTTTAGCTGGTTTACTGAATTACCTCGACTTGGCTTCTAACCAGAAACTGACCTACTATTAACCCCTTGATTTATTTGCATATGCTTTGTGGGAAAACACATTTTTTTTTTCAGCTTCTGAATAAAACCTCAGACATCTCTTAGTTTTTTAGATACCAATATATTAGGTTGTTGCGAAAGTAATGGCGGTTTTTGCCTTTACTTTTAAATGGCAAAAACCGCCATTACATTTACACCAACTTAATAATACTTCTTCCTTGCTTAGGGATTAAAAGTTCTGAACCAGGGTAGTCATTGCATAGCAACAATCGAGTCTAGAATAGCAGACCCTGAGCTTGAGTCTTTTTTTTCTCTCTCTAATCCCTAGTTAGCGGCTATTTCAGAACCATTCAGAATAAGACCTAGAAGAAGGGGAGGATTTGCTAAAAGCTGCACAGTCAAACATGGCCGAGTTCACTGTAATCACGGGTTGGTACCCTCTCTGTGGTTGATGTATCCTTGCTGAATCTTTCTCAGGTACCATTTTTGTGGATTCTGACATTCCCCACTAGTGACCTGTGACTGCATTCACCTTCACCTAGACAATGTCCAGCCCATTGGTGGCACCTTACTTAGAACTTCTTGATCATCTTTTACATCAAAGAAATCTGGCACTTCTCTCACTGAAGGTTCTTTTAAACTTCCAGGCAGTCCCCTAGAGAAAGATCCCCCCAGGCCATCTCATTTTGCTGGTGGTAGAACACATACATCTTGTTGCAAGTCAAGCCTGGGCTTTCTGTCTCTTCCACCATAGCCTGTGCTGTGTAGCCTCTCCTATCAACTCCTAGGATCCTTAAGCTCCAGTGAGCAAGGTACATTCTTGTGATGGCCTGCACTTGGCTCAAGGTAAACGGGAGAATTCCATGCCTTTGCCTGAGAAGGGACTAGAGGAAGTGAGTGAGTGATGGGCACTATGCTGCCACTTCTCACCAATAAGGCCCTCTTTATCACATTTTCAAGCATAATCTCTTGTAGAAGAGGCTGGAGTGTGACTTGTTAATGTTTCCCTAACTAGAGCTGAGTCATTTATTTTGCCCATAATGTGTATAAATCTCATACTTCTCATCACAGGGAAGTACAACAAGGCATTATTATTTTGTTTAGTCCCCAGCCTTTCTTTAGCAGCCTCTGCAGAAACTTTGAGGGAGAAGGATGGGACTCACGTACAGCCCTGTAACAGAGAATTTTAAAAATAGAATGGGTGCATTTTGGTCTTGGGTTTAATTATTGCATGTTTGATGGAGTTATGATGATAAGAGCAAGAAGAGGTGATAGCACTTCTATAATACTCTTTTCCTTGTTTTGTATTACATAACTAAAAAGTGAAAATCCTGTCTACACCAGTATATTTGAAACTACAATATGTTATATGCCAATATATGAAATCTGATTATATGCATGCATACATGTATAAATGCATATGTGAACTGGAAGAGGTCCTTGACTCCCTTTGCAGGATGTGTCACAGACGTGTGGCTCATCTGTTTAGCCGCTGTGCATTCAAACCCCTTACAGGAGAGGGAGCACGCAGACAGGCGGGTTTAAGAGCTGGGGAAAGTGCTATTGGGCTCCGGCCCCATGGTAGTGTCAAGGGGTGGTGCCTACGACTCCTGAAGCTCCAGTGGGCATGCTACTGTGCTCTTTTAGCTTTGCTGCTCACTGATGGCTTAAGTGATAACCAGCTCAGTGCCCTCTTGGTACCCAGGTTCTTGTCTGGTGTCCAGGAAGAATCAGATCACACAGACAAACTGAAGGATGGTAAAGGCGGGGGATTTTATTCCCGGAGGGAGGTAGCTCTCAGCAGAATGAATGGGAGCTGGAAAGGAGATGGACTAGGAAGATCATCTTCCCCTGGAGTTTGACCATCTCACAGCCATTCTCCCCTCCAACCATCCCCTGCTGAATTACTCTCGACATTCAGACACTCCTCTGCCATGCTGCTCTTCTGCTTCTGTGCTCATCTGTTCAACCATGCGTCTGCTCATGGAGCCTGGGGTTTGGAGTTTATATGGGTACAGGATAGGGGGGTGTGGCAGGCCCAAAAGCAACATTTAGGCACAAAAGCTGGAATGCCAGTTCGCACTTAGCGCTGCAGTTTTCTAGGCTTGAGAGTGGGGCCTTTGCCAGGGAACTGCCCTCTTTTACCCAGTATTTCCCTTCCTCTGTAGCATATGTGTCTAGATTTCAATATATATTGATACATGTATATGTATATGCATACCACATCCTGCATATGTGTCTATGTATATGTACATGTATCTATATACACACATTCCATGATGATAAGATATAAATATTATCTACTCAAGAAGAATTGCATTTGAAATCATCTTTTAATATCAACCTTTGCATTTAATAATTATATGCATTTGTGCATTATAGACATTAGAGTTGTTAGAGTTGTTGCATTAGTGAATATATATATATTCACTAATGTATCAGTAATATATATATATTTAAAATAAGGAAGAGAGTTTCTATCTAAACTATCTTAAGATTGATTTTATTTAATATTTGTGGAATAAATGTATTGTTTTGTTTATTAATATATTTGGAAATATTTAAATCCTGTTGTCATATTTGTCAATGTTTTCTTTCTCTCATATTTAGTAAACTAACTCTGCGTATCATCTACATACAGGCAATGGCATTTGGATATGTCACACTAATTAAGTGCTACATTGGATGTCTCCTCTTAAGTTTTCCTCCTGAATATTTGATATAAGCCTTTCAAACTGCAGGGAAAAGTGACAACAAACCCCAGAGCTACACTCTGTGATTGAGAGAATCAGTTATCCCGGTGTCTCTGGAAGCAAAATCAATTCATGTGTTCTGTCATCCTTAGAAAGCACTCTCTAACAGGCTGTCAGCAATAAATTTTACAGGATTTCCCCAAAGTCAATTGCTTCTTCTATTTGGGATTAAGATGAAAGCAAATTGATTCTGCCCATACACAGAGGAAGCACGAGAGAAGAGATACTTTTAGTCTACTCACTTCTTTTTTTTTTTTTTTTTTTTTTTACTGACAGACTTCTCTTGCCACACTAATGTAAGGTCCTTAGTAATTGAAATTCTGGCTGTGAAATATACTCAGGCATAACCAACTTGAATGCAATTTCCCTTAGAGTTACCTTCCATGCAAGTAGGCAGGAAATTTACTTCTGAGTAACTTATTTCTGAACACATTAAAAAATAATCATAAGGCAACTCTTTTCAGTATTTTAACTGGAATGACTGCCAGGATATCATATTCAATTTGATTTTACCATATCTTCTAAAGTCTAGTGATAATAATAATTCGTGTTTTTTCTTTAATCAAATTTAAAACATTCAGAATCAACATTTAACTTTTTTAAATCATTTTTTTCTTAAAATGTAATTTTGTAATTTTTGTAGTAGATAGAGATGGCATATTAAAATTAAAACTACCATAGGTGGATTATGCTGGCATTTAATCAAGTGTTATTGAGTCTGACTCTAGAAAAAGTGTCAGTTTAGAAATACATTTTCTTATTTCGTTTGGACAGCTTAGAAATGTAGATGAGTTTAAGAAAATTATTCCAGCTGAACTAGAATTAGAACTTGTTAAAGGTCTATAAATATATAAAATGTCAGGTGGGAGTGACCAAAAGTTGCACTTTTGGTGCAAACAAGCAAACAAAGAAAAATAGAAACTGATGACATATTGTAAAAACCACTAGGTTTCTGTTGACAAATATTTATACAGGTTTCTGATCTCAATTTTGATGTTTATACATAGAGTAACAATTGAAATGTATGTTTGTGAAGTACTAAAGGGTGCCCAGTGCTAGGTTAAATTCCAAGCAGAACATTATATGTCTAGATTGAAATGCCAATTTACTCTCTCCCTCTCTCTCTCTGTCTTTCTCTTTCTGTGTGTGTTTGTGTGTGTGTCGGTGGGAGAAAACCATTTATTTATACAACTACCTACTAGCAAGTTGGGATAAAATTGAAATATAAACAACATGGTATGGGAATGAAGAAGCAGGCAATTAACTATATTGTGAGGTTTGGTGAAAATAATATTAGTCTTAGGTCTTACAGGATATGTAACATATTAAAAATCAAGGTTAGGACAGTGCTAATCATTTCTTGTAACATTTATAAAATCTAATCAGAATCTAGTTAATTAAACTTGTACTCTCTTGTGTCATCAATTACAGTTTGCTACCAAATTTGTTCAAAGCTTTTGTGTATACATATAAGATTTTCACTTGGGAGGGAATGTGATAGAACAAAGAAGAATAAAAACTTGTGATTAAAAATAATCATTTAACATTCAAAGTTTTAAAATCAATTAATCTGTATTATGTGAAGATAAAAATATAAAAGTTTTTCAGTAACATTAACTCTCCAATAAAACTTCAAAAAATAAATCACACAATCCAAATTCGGTAGAACCAACGACTTCAAATGTCTCAATATAAAGCAGTATAAGGAATTCATATATCCTTAGAAAAGAAGGGTTTTAGATATTATTTGAAATACAGTTTGAAATTTATAGAAATATTTATCAATTTGTTTTTAATAAATAGGTTTATACAGTTGCTGTTACTAATAATCCATGGTCTCTGAAGTAATTTAAAGTTTCATTTTTTTAATTGTAAAATTGAAAACACTTGATCTAAAAATACACACTTTTAGTTTTGCTGAATTAGATTTAAATGTATTTTCCAATTGAAAAGCAAAATATCATTAATTTCTATAAAACATCTTCTCTTTACAAGAACTAGGCTCTAAAACAACCTGAAAATCCATAACTTATTCTCCTCACTCTAGGAAGCACATGTTTCTTGGACTAGGTGAGGAATAGTAATTTCCCCTGCAGGACTTTGGTTCTCTTCATTCTTAACAGAAAGTCTGCAGTTTGCCTTTAGGAACTGTGTGCCAGCGGCTAAGATTTTGAACATGAGGGCCTCCTTCAATGGACAACTCTTAGTCCTGGCATAAGAGGGCCACCCCAGGATAAATTACACTGGAGGAAATTGACGATGCTTTGTATCTAGAATTTAATCTCTCTGATCACTAAAACAATTCTTATATTCAAAATTGATGCTGATATTACAAAGATTTCTAAATTAATATATGATTAATCTCATATATCAAAGTTATCTCTTTATTATTGCTTTATGCAATTTTCTTGTACATTTTTAAAATTTAGCAGCTATATTTGCATTTTTATATAGATATTATCCTTTTTATATGTAACATAAGAGCTAAAAAGACAATGATCTTTCCTTCAAAGAATTATAGCATGTCTATCTCATGTCAACACATAAAAATTATTTTTAATTAAAACTCATGGTTTGTTAAAATGATGACTTACTGCAACATGGACTCTTGAGCAAAGCAGGTTAAAAAACTGCATTGGATTGCAATCTGTGTGCCTCTAGACAAGTTTTCCAAAAAGATCTAGTTTCCCAAACTCTAAAAGGAGAATAACAGTATTCTATTTCCAATACTTCAGAGTACTTATTTACATAAAGTATTCAAAGTGTGTGTGAAACTGTTTGAGACATCTGAGGCACCCATGGTAATTGTTGTTAATACTTTTAATTTTATAACTGCCTATAATAAAAAGTACCAAGCACGAGTAAACTGATTTTATCTAGCACACTTATTTGATACTTTTAAACTTCTTTTTTTCTTTTTTTTTTTAAATTATAAATTTTAGGGTACATGTGCACAACTTGCAGGTTTGTTACATATATATACATGCGCCATGTTGGTGTGCTGCACCCATTAACTCATCATTTAACATTAGGTATATCTCCTAATGCTATCCCTCCCCACTTCGCCCACCCCACAACAGGCCCTGGTGTGTGATGTTCTCCTTCCTGTGTCCATGTGTTCTCATTTATTCACAAGAGCAAAGACTTGGAACCAACCCAAATGTCCAACAATGATAGACTGGATTAAGAAAATGTGGCACATATACACCATGGAATACTATGCAGCCATAAAAAATGATGAGTTCATGTCCTTTGTAGGGACATGGATGAAGCTGGAAACCATCATTCTCAGCAAACTATCACAAGGACAAAAACCCAAACACTGAATGTTCTCACTCATAGGTGGGAATTGAACAATGATACTTTTAAACTTCTAAAATATTTATAAAATATATTAACCTCTGTATTTTAGAAAGTCGTTTATATTTATAAGTCAAATCAATTGTCCTTCTACATTCTATAATTAAATAATAACTGCCACCACCATCAAGAGAAGTAATTGTGGAAAAAATGAAAACACAAGTGCCTTTCTCAATGCTTTGTTAAATTACGTTCAATTAAAATGATTCTGAACATTTATGGCATGGCTTTGGATTAATGTCAAATGATTATCAAAGCAAATGACTATCAAAATAGTTAAATTACTATATGTGGATCTCATATTAAACAAATAGTAAATAAGAAAATCTAAAACACTTGGGAGTTTGATCAGTATGAGATGTGTCTGTATCTGCAGTACCAATTCTAAATTTTTAAACACTGTTGAAAGTATTAAATATGAGAGTGCCAAATTATTATGGTTTGAAAGTTTGTGTCCCTCCAAGATTTACATTGAAATTTAATCTCTAATACAATAGTATTAAGAGGCGGGGCCATTAGGAGATGATTAGATGATGAGTGCTGCACCCTTATGAGCGGGATTAGTGCCCTCATAAAAGTGTCTTCACATAGCTTTTACCTCATTGGCCCTTCTGCCTTCTGCCATGTGAGGATGCAGTAACAAGGCCCCATCTTGGAAGCAGAGTACTTGAGCACTCACCATATACTTCACCTGCTGCCACCTTGATCTTGGACCTCCTAGCCTCCAAAATGGTGATAAAATAATTTTCTTAAATAAATTACCCAGTCTCAGGTATTTTGTTATAGCAGCACAAATGCACTACGACAAATATGATACTAGTTCTTTAGCAAATTTATAAATTATCAAGCTGTTGATGCTGTTGAAGTGATGTTAAAAGAATTTGAGAATCTTATAACAAAATCACAAGCTAAAATGTTTCAATTTTACCCTTTATCCTGTCAACATGGATAAAAATAAACCCCAGTTTTCAAATTTCTAAGCATTTAAGCCATTCTCTTCACAAGAATACGTGTATGTTCAACTGTTTCAGTTTCTATAAGTCGTTTTAAAATGCAACTAAAATAATTTTTGCCTCATTATGAACATTTTTTCATTTTTTGCAGTGAAACACTGAGAATGAATAATAAATATGTTGAATAGGCAACATACGTGAACGTTCAACTCTTTCAGTTTCTATAAGTAGTTTTAAAATGTAACTAAAACAACTTTTTGCCTCATTATGAACATTTCTCATTTTTTACAGTGAAACACTGAGAGTGAATAATAAAGATGCTGAATAGGCAACATACGTGAACCTGCCAAAGAATTACCACAATCAGTAATTGTATATTTCCCTAAGGAGAGATTAACGCATACTCAGTCACGCCTGCTGAAAGATGCCATCAATTCTGTCATAAGAAGCTAAAATTCTCAAAGCCAATGTATATTATTTACAGTTTCTTTTACTTGGTTGTGCTTAAATGTGTAATAAATTGCATATACATTTCGGGCTGTACTATAAGCTCATTTGTCTTCAATTTTCTTTTCTGACTTCCTCAAATATGAAGTTAAATGCTTAAAGAATCGTAGGGAAAATTATCAAGTTTAGTTAAACCAAGAAGGCAGAGTCTGTAGAAGTTTCTGTGTTTTGGTTTATTTATTTTTAAAATCACTGAGGCACTTGCATCAGTGTAAGTGTATGTGTGTGTGTTGTATAATACATAGCTAGCACTTTGATTTCAGCTGTGTGAGAGGCTAAGCAGAGGCCTCAATGTAGCCACCTGGACTTCTGACCTTCAGCACTGTGAGGCAAGAGATGGGATTGTTTCAAGCCTGAAAGTGTGTGGTAATTTGTTAAGCAACAATAGAAAACTAATACTAATACAATAACGGTGAAAAAAAAAGAGAAAATTGAGAATAAAAAACTCATTTTCAGTGGGAAGACAAAAACCAACCAACCAATCAAAGAAAGAAAAAAACAAAAGACAAAGATAAAACAGTAGATCTTGTGACAAGCATATCGATTACACCACTATCCATTAGGCTTTGAAAAAAAAAAGTTACATTTACATAGCTAATTATATTAGCACTTATTTTCTGATCCCTTTAATTTTCTTTTACTTTTTGAGTTTCCAAATAAACATCCCAAAACATATTAGAGCCAATTATTTTAAGTTTATAATAAGACTGGAGTTTTTGGACAAATTTTATTTCTTAAGGCACTTTTGTAAAAAATAAATACCAGTGATAGTATTTACCCATCTAATACTAGTGATAGTAATGTACTGGTGATAATCTTGGTGTGCTTGTAAATCAAAAAGAAATACAATATGTTAAATATATAAATGATACTTGATAGAACATAATATTTTTCTTTTAAAATAAAATAATATTTAACTTTCTTCTCTTTTTCACATATTGCCTTTTAACAAAACTAGGGAGAGGGTATATGCAAACAAAGATAATTAGTAAAGTAAGATTTCGAAGCAAATTCTAATACTACTAGTTATTTTGTGAAACTCTCATATTATAAAATAAAATAAAAAATACAGTGTAATATCCAGAATGACCTGTTCTTTCTCTTTTAAAAAGTGGAACAAGGTTTTGAGGACAAGGATCTTATCAAAGTTAATGCCATATTTTGGAGATGAGAAAAACTCTACAGGGAAAAATGAAACCTTTCTAAGAGCCTGACCCATATACACTCAAGCTCAGATAGAACAGTGAGCAATGAATTTACCCTCCGCTGTCTATCCTTAAATTTGGGGAATCACATAATGTTTGGTCACCCATTTAGAAGTGCTGGGGTTAGACTGCAGGTTTGTCAGAAGCCATAACTCAGAGGGGAAGATACAATAAGTCAGCCTTTTTCATTTACTTCACCTCAGGAGAACAAAATAATTCATAACGAGCATGTCTCAGCTCAGACTGAAATTCAACTGTGTTAACATGACCGTGCCCATAGGGTGAACTAATGGCAATGCGTGGGTTCTGCTAAAACACAGCCACCATGTGGCTTACCTTTTTCACTGATTTTTTTTTTACATTTTTTAAAGATGACTTTTTTTTTTTTAAACAGCGTATATGTACAAAGGTTTTAAATCCCTAACAAAGATATATATTCTTTTAAAAATCGGTCATTTTACTTGCGTCCCATTTTTGAGATGCTGATGTTGCATCTTTAGAATTTCTCTTGATATTCCGGCATTTATTTTAGGCCAACATGTTCTTCATACGAATAGGGGTGCTGATGAAATGCACGAAATATTTTGAGGGCATAAGAAACAAGAAAAATTGGGTCATCTACTCTCAGAGTGTTTTTCTCACTGTGCATAAAGAAGGTAAATATAACCATACAAAAATTCTTGCTGTGACTTTATGCTTCAATACCATAGATATGTAGTTTATCACCTGAAAAGTACGTAATTGTACAGTTTATATTATCTCTGCATTTTAGTTCCAGTAGCTTGGGATGTCTTGTCCTGTTTGATAAAATAATTAAAATGTCTTTTTTCTAACTATCTAGTCTGTCTTTACTATGCAATTAATAACAATCTGATGAGCCACAAACCACATATGTGCAGCACTACATCTGGCCTATTTTTCTGTATCTGTGCAGTAATTATGAGCTTTTCTTTTACTCATGACTTGTATAGTGTGTGAAATTAAGGCAAAAATGTGCAGACTAAAACAATGTATGACTGAATTTAAAATTATAGCACTCTGTACCAATTCTTTCATTTCCATAACAAATAAAATACTACGTACGTGCGAATAATAAGTAGGTAGGCCTAGCTTATAATTTAAGCTAAGCTGTTATAATTTAAGAAACAATACAAAGTGAACAAAGGTGACTGAATAAATTGGTTAGAAAAGTTTAGGAGAATAAATATGCCCGCTTAAAGTTCCTGTTTTGTTGTAAGAGATGAGAAAACGTCACATTAAACTCTGAGAAACTGGAAATTACACAAAAGTACTCATTTAACAACGTTCTTTTTTCCCCAAATATTTACATATTACAATAATGCAACTATGCATTAAAGATAATAAAATTAATGCTTTCAAAAATGTTTCCCTTCACATTGCTAATGGACATTTGTGGAACCTTCCAAATAACGACAGAATTTTATCACAGGAAAATGCTTTAATGAGAAAAAAAATGTTCTATCCCCCTGCAAAATTCTATTTTTAAAGTTTTATCATGTATTTTTGCAATAATTTCCAATATATAAAACCTATACTAATACTAACTGCTATTTGTACATTTATATGAACCTGTTTATTCCTTCTGTTTTCAAGTTTTGTAATAATGATCAAATCTTCTTAAATATATGGAAATTCATTGAGAGTGATTTGAGTTTGAGTGTCTGTATACATACATCTATATTTTTAGCTTGCTAGAGAAGACCTGAAGGCAATTTTAAGTTAATACTCTTCTAAGTCAGAATTTTCCAAGTGAAAGTTGGAGAAACCAAATCCTGAGAGATAATCTCTGAAGGAATGAAAATGAGACCGTTTTGCCATGATTCCTGGGTTCAGTAAGGAAAATGGAAACTACCACATCTCCTGCTGGATGATTTCACTTTGTATTACTATTTTAGGCACTGAAAATCCTGCACACACTACTTAACTCTAATTCTCAACTTATTTGACTAGTGTACATATTTTTCATTTAAATAAATTTATTAATATTCACACGCAATATTTTTAAAAATGATATCCGGTGTTATATGATGGAATTATTTCTTTGGGGAAAAGATTATATTTATCCTTGCATAAGATACACTTAAAAGACTTTTTTTTTTAATTTAGATATTCCAGTACCATAAGTTACACATGTAGTTTAGGAAATTGTTAAGAGGAAAAAAGTTTAAATAGAAAAAATATTTTATAAGAAGATGACGGGTTTATATAACAGTAGAGTACATTATTAAAATAGTACTGTGCAAAAATGTCTATAAACTGCATTAATCCCTGTGAACTAAATTGGATTCAGCAACACTAAATTATTAATCATGTTAATCTAATTATAATATAACATGAAATCTTCAAAAATGTAGTGACAATTAGTTTAAATTTCTATTTGACATTCACTCATAGTAGCCCTTTCAACAATCAGAGAAATTTGTTCCAGAGAAAATAATATTCATGGACACTCAACATATCCTTAATTAATGCTCCATGATCAAATGGTCCTATGGGAAAAATTAATGTGAAACTCAAGATAAATTTCTAGCAAAATTTAGAAGCACTCTATAAACTCATCACCCCTGTAATTTGTGATTATTGCATTTGTGATTCATATGATTCATATACTGACATAGAAAGCTGATGAAATATGTATATTAAGCAAAATTGAGATAAATTATGGGTTCGCTAAATCAAAATTCAATCTCAGTAAAAAACAAACAAACAAAAGCCTGACTGTAAGGACAAAAAATATTGTGAAATACCAAAACCTGGTATAAATAAATCAACTACATAAATTATATTAACAACCCAAATATATATGCAAAGACGTTAAAATATTTAGTTAAATATAAATTCAAATGAGTCTCCCCTATAATTTGGCCATCAAAAATCCTGGTGCCAGTTCAGGTTGCATTGGAATAAGCTAACATTTATTCAATGTATTCTATGCATGAGATAAAATTCTATGCCCCTCACTGCATTAAATCAGTTGTTATTCAAAATACACTTACGGGGTTGGTATCATGATCTCCATTTTAGAGCTCTTAAAACTAAGGCATAAAGAATCTCTTTAATTTTCCTGCAGGTCAAGGACCATGTCAGTTTTATTTACATCTCTGTATATCCACTTGTAGAATAAGGACTGACGTAGAGTTGCGGACTTCATGAATATATTTGAAATAATACATGGCTTGAGGAAATCTAACATAAGCAAGATGACTTCCACACATAGACAGCAATTATGATAAGTAATAATTGGTAGATTTTTCCAGTACAATTGTCAACATAATTATAAAAATAATTTTTAAAAACCGCAGAGGAATATCTGTTGAAAATGTTTAGAAAAAAATTATATTACATTATTTCATTATGGTGATTACTATATATTTAACATTATGAAGTGTGAAATACTACATTATAAAATTAAATAAACGATGTCAAAACTAAATGAAAGATTTATTAGACTCATTTGACCTAATGTTAGATGCCTGTTTATTTTCTGGAGGAAAATTATTTTCTGTATAAGTAAAAGAATAATTGGGAATAAGTTGTAAAATAACCAGATGCATTTGTACTTTATTGTCTAAAATGTTTTAATATTAAAATTATCAATCTATATCTACATAGATACTCCATGCTCAGTGTTAATTTTTGTATGTGGAAAACTGAAAGACAACTGGTAGTTAAAGAAATGCTGCTTCTTATCAGTAAATTTCATTCGTGTTGGTTAGACAGTATTAGCTTATATGAATAGATCTGAGAATAGATTCCTTGCTATCAATTAAGAGATTATAAGTTTTCATTAAAAAGAGTAAATTTCTTTGATCTTAAAAATGTTGAAGGTTATTAAATATGTATGTAAGTTATAGATGGATAGAGAGAATGGATCAGGGTATTAACATAAAAAAGGGCATTCTTCTGGAAATGAAAATCATTTCTCATGGAAATGGGTAATTGGGTAAGAGAAGTGTGAGGAAGTTGACCTACGAGAGAAGTGTGTTGTTACAATGGGAAGAATAGTTAATATTGTGGTGAAAGTTTAAGAACATTTAAATTTAAGTTCTTAATAACACAGAACTTTAGATTTTTAATACTGAGCAATGAGATATTGTAACACAGAATATGTGACACAGAAAGCACTGATTTAATATTTTTCATTGTATTGCTATGCAGGAAGAGAAAAAGACTGTATTCAAGTAGATCTTAGGCTAGTGAGAAAAGTTAAGTAGAATGTAACAATGACATTTAGCAGGACTAGAACAAGACACAAGTATTATTCATCAGTATTTTACAGAAAATAAAATGTATTTTTTTTGACACAGGGTCTTGCTCTGTCACCCAGGCTGGAGTGCAGTGGTATAAACATAGCTCCCTACAGCCTCAGCCTCTGGGGTTCAAGTGATCCTCCTTCCTCAGCCTCCTGACTGGCTGAAACCACAGTCATGTCCCCACGCCTGTATGATTTTTATTATTATTATTATTATTATTATTATTATTATTATTATTATTATTTTCTCTAGAGACGGGGTCTCATCAGGTATCCCAGGCTGGTCTTGAAGCCCTGGGCTCAAGCAATCCTCCTGCTTTGGCCTTCCATAGTTTTGGGATTACAGGCATACGCCACCACACCTGGCAAATAATGTAAATTTTGATAATCCATTGTAAAAGATAAAATGATGAAAATGATAAAACATCTCCTGATGTCCATCCTGGGGGAATAGATAAAATATTACACCACGAGCCAATGAAGAACACGTGACTAAAAAAGGATTTCCCGAGGAAATTATGGCCATTGAATCTGGACAGGTTGAACTTGTGGTATAGGTAAAAATTTTAAGATAGTTGTTTTATAAGTAGACAGAAACAGCACTATGTCTATCCTTCAAATATCAATTTCACTCAGCTAACCTCCCAAAAGACAACTGATTTTTGGCAAAGTGTTCTTCATCCAAAGAGAACTAGGATATTTCAGTGTCACAGAAGTAATAGTAAGGGTCAGGGAAGAGATTCAAGAAGTGAGTGCACAAACTGGGAAATAGAATTGAGATTAATAACTTATACAAGCTATTATATTATAATTAATAAAAAAGTTACCTGTGGCCTTGTCTAAGTTTCTGTTGGATAATGGAGAAAAGATATATAAAGAGGACAAATGTATCAAAGGAAAAATTAATTCAGCATCAAATAAATCATTCAGCTTTAAATTATGGTGAGAATTTGGCACTTAAACGTATTTGGTGTTTTTTAAGTGTTGAAATAATCTCAATAAAGTTTTTAATTCAATTACAATTTCTTAATTTATTATGCTTGCCAAACATATTAACATATGTGTTTGTTATTAAATATGTTATTTATAAATTAGCAATTAAAATTTCAGCTAAGAAAATTATTTTATTCACCAAAACTAAATTTATAAATGACAAAAATAAATACTATGATGTATATCTTTATGTTGACTCAATATTACATGATATTTTATCTGTAAAAAACTGATCAAAATATACTTTATTATGTAAAATTGCAGTTGAACAAATTCGTGGTGGCATACTTCATAGTCAATATTAACTTTTATGTGGTAGTAAATAAATATAATACTTAATCAGTTAATTATTAAAATAGATTATATATTGTTTTCTCCTTAAAACTATAAAAACATATTTAAGCAATTTAAAATATAATTAATTTCATGAGACTTATAATCACAATGAATATATATGTTATATATATATATATATACACACACACACACACACACACATACACACACATAAACTGATTTGCTAATCATGAGCTACAAAACCACAGGAGTAACATTCAAAGTAGTTAAACAGGCTACATAAATATTATAACTGATTATATATATATTATTTGCCAATTTAAACAGATAAAATTACACAAATGTTTATTCTATCAAAATGTTTAGGTATCTTTCTACTCAAATATTCTGCTTTACAAAGTTTTATATATTTTCATATCTTCATAATGATGAAATATTTTACCAATATATTAAGATGCAGTCTGATGATTTTCTAACCTTCTGATATACCAATGAAGTATCACCAGGTATCATCTGATATACCAAATGGCATCAAACAAATGCCATTTACCATTTATTTTCTATGCTAGAGGGATATTTTAGTTGTATTTCTTACTCTCTAGCCATGTGGCCTGCCCGATAAAAAATAAGTTTAGACATATTTTCAGATATTTAGTTTAACCAATAATAATAGAACTAATAAAAAAACTATAAAAAACTCCTTAATTTTCTCTCAAAATCATAGTCAGTATACATATTTACGTGGGATAATGACAAAGCCTTTTTCACTGTAAAATAAAAATTCACATATTTGAGATGGGACAAATCTGAAATAATTGCTTGGGCAGTTACAAATTAAACAGCATTCTATGCAATTACATTTTATTTTAACTATTCATTTTGAATGAGACAATATTAAGCTATTCTCTGTGAGTCTGTGAGTGTTTGGTATTTGAATGCTCTTGTGAAAGTATTCATTTGAACATATATTTTTATATTATTTTCACTCAAACTTCTAAAGTGGCATAAAGTCCTCATTAATAGTCTATTAGTTTCTATGACTCTTATTAGCATTAAAAAACAAATAAGATGATAATAAACATCCGCTTATATTAAAAGTTTCTCTGTTTTAGGGCACTATGATCAAAAGACCTGTTATAGGAATTTAAAATGTAAATGCTATGCATTTAATTAAGAAGAGATAACTGTCTATCAAGCATGGCTGCAGAGACTTATCAAGTCAGTATCATATAAAATAATAAAAAATGTATCAGTTTCGCTTCATTTTGAATAAAATAAGTGAGAGTCAAAAGAGCTCAGTGTGGTTTAAAAGATGTGTGAATGAGTTTTTATTTTAGTAATTGAAAATAGTCTTGTAATGAATGATGTTTCTTAATTAATTGTGAAAAATAAGAAATGAAGGTGACTTCAAGGTGCATTGTCATGATGTTCCCTGACTGGATGACATCTCAGCCATGAAACATTCATACTAGTGCAAGCATGTATATCCTTGTGTTAACACTTCATCCACAGAAACAAGTACTTTATCCATATAACTGGTTTCAAAGCAGGCCATTGTTCTGTACTATATTATAATTCTTGAGATTATATTAAAATAAGGAATAAAATATTATACATAAATCTAAATCTGAAATATGGTTCTTTTCCCACTTAGTCAGCTTTCCATGATACTTCAACTTCAACACACACTCTGTGTCTATGTGGACATTCATACCATAAAGTAACTAAATATTCAGAGCATAATGATTACTTCCAACTTGATTTGTACAATCTCACTTATATATATAATATATATTATATAATATATCATACATTATATATAATATCATATATCATATATATCATAATAATACAATATAATATAATATATGATGTAATATAATTATATATAATATATGTTTAACTATATGATATATATTATATATAAAATATTATATTATATATTATTCTATTAAATATTATATAATATATATATTTTTTGAGATGGAGTTTCATTCTTCTTGCCCAGGCTGGAGTGCAGTGGGGTGATCTCGGCTCACTACAACCTCCGCTTCCCAGGTTCAAGTGATTCTCCTGCCTCAGCCGCCTGAGTAGCTGGGATTACAGGCACATGCCACCACATCTGGCTAATTTGTATTCTTAGCAGAGACGGGGTTTCTCCATGTTGGTCAGATTGGTCTCAAACTCCTGACCTCAGGTGATCCTCCCGTCTCGGCCTCCCAAAGTGCTGGGATTACAGGCGTGAGCCACTGCACCCAACCTCTCATTGATACTAATGTTCACTTTGCCTGAGAAAGAAGAGAGGCAACATTTGTTACTGGAAAATTTAGTATCTCATTAATAGATCTATCTTTATATCTGTTTATCCATTAGACAAGAGCAAAGAGGTTCCAGGATAACAAGAAGGGCAAGGAAATACCCAGCAATGACTTTACTCATGTATTCATTACTCAGTAACTATTTCCTCTGTGCATCGTACATACTATATGCAAGGCTTTTTACAATTATATCAAATACAATGGTTAACACAACAGAAACAAAGAAAACAACAAAAACAGAATCAAATTTTATGTTATAGATCTTAACATCTAGTGGGGATGTGAGTGAAGACTCATGAGTTTGCATTTCTAACAAGTTCCAAAGCGATGCTGATACTACCAGTTCAGGGTCCCAGAACTGAAAAGTGAACCTGAACACATCTGGAAGTCCCATTTGACATGAGGTCTTTAGAATGAGTGGGAATGAACTAGGAAAAAGAGGTGTAGATTGCCCTACAGATCTGGGAAACAATACTCATAGAGAAAATTTTGTGCATAGAACTAGCAGGAAAGGAAAAAATAAGGCTTATATTGGTAACTCTATGAAGATAATGTCTTTCAGTAAAAGTTGCTAAACAGTTTTTTTTCAGATAAACATGGAAACGATTCAATGGCATAAGGTAAATGAAGAGTAAAATAAATTGTGGTTTTCATATGAAAATTCTAAGCAACAGAAAATTCTGTTAGTGAAAAGAGAAAAGTACATTCAAAAACAGCGTATCTGCATAGATTTTAAATAACACAAATACTGGTTATAAATGACGGCAAATAATGGAAGCCAAAATTTTGTGTTACTGCACTGAGGCAAAGATTAGGAAATGAAGGGGCTCCTGTGCCATGCAGGACAAATGTAACGTTTATCTCTAAGGATTGGAGAATATTGAAGAATTGTTTAAGTAGCTGTATAACATGATCGATTTATATTAAAAAGCTCATTCTAGCTTTGTGTGAATATGAAGGCTATGGCTGCGGGTGGAAATGGCAATACTTTTTAAAAGCTTCCAGAGATTATTATATCCTTTGAAGTCTATCCCAGGACCTCTGCTCACCAGGTAAGATGAATTCAGGAGACCAAGCTGAACGACAAGATCAACTGGGGAACACTGCAGCACTTCTGGAGCAAAATGACAAATGACCATTAATGTATTATTAATGGGAATAAAGAAGAGTTGACAGACTCAAAATGCATTGCAGAAATTACACCATTTTTGATGATGCTAGACTAAATATAAGGAAGTGAAATAAAAGGAAAAGTCTAGAAGAATGTCTAGTTTATTTTGTGGCTAAACCAAATGTATAAGTGATGAAAAAGAAAATTTTAAAAATAGGAAATGATGAGTATCTAGTTATTAGTTCAGTTTAGTGCATGTCATGAGTTTCAGTATTTGTATATATGTATGTAGAGATAAGTAGTAAGCACTTAGACACCACCTGAAATTTATTAGAGGTTTATAGGTAAGAAATAAAAATTTGTTTAAGAAATTACGTTATTCAAGTAATTTATCAAACTGAGAAGAGGGTAAAGTTCAGGGACAGGGACTGAGCAGTCAATTAAGGAGAAAACTGATGAGAATTTATGTGCTCTCAGGTCACCACCTTCTGTGCTTTTGTTTCATCCAATCTAAGATTATTTAAATAGAATTTGCTCTTCCAGTTAAAGTAGAAGGTAATTAAGAAAAAATAACACAATACATTGTAATGCATAAAAGTATTGTTTTCCATATATTTCACATAAATATACCATTGATAGTCAACTTGCTTAATTAGTTAAAAGATGCTTTTTCATTTGCTAATACTTTACTAGAATTCTAATTATCTACATTTGATATTAAGTTAATTGTGTTTTTCATATCTGACTCCTCTGTGGTTCTGTTTAGAGTTCCAAATATGGATAAAATTCACCTGATGAGAATTGCTGAATCTTGTATTCTTAGTATTAGGTTACATCATTTTGACATGGGAATTTGTCAAATAGGATTTTTAAAACCGAATCAATTTAATTCTAAGTAACTCAATATCTAGATTTACCTTGGCTGGATATGATGGATAAACTGGATCATGAAAAAGAAAACAAATACAATCTAGGAAAGAGAGTAAAGGCAGAAAAGTCATGTGTACAATGGAGAAACCTAATTTTGAAAATTAAATGCAAAGACCTAGAAATGGCTATTCATCTAGCCCAATTCATAAGGCAGGCCAAAAGCATTACTCGAGATGCCCTTTATGCACAATGCACCTGATTCCTTTGTATCACAAGATAGTCACCACCAGTGATGCAACAAGAAATACTGGCATGTAGGAACAATTCCTAGGTATTCACAGTCAATGCAAATACAGATGATACATTATTATTTCATGGTATAAACTGAGCTACCCTCCATCCCCAAAAGCTAAACAATATGTTGTTTTTGAAAATATTACGAAGCATTAAATACTGGTAAAATCTCAGTGATTGGAGCTGTGTTCACAAAGCCACTGTAGAATCCAATTCCACAGCTGCATCCTGATACAGAACAAACAATATTTAGGCTGATTTCTTTGTGAGAATATCAGCATCCCCTAGTTATAAGAGGCCAAAGGCAGAGTTTGCTGCACAGGCACTACTGATTAGCTGAGTGAGGTCCAGCAAGTATTCTCACTTTTTTATGTTCCAGTTTACTCATCAATAAAATACAAATTATAATCTGCTAACATTTACAGAACTTCTGTGAGAACTGACTTAAAGCACTTAGAAAAGGACTTAGTAAATTAACAATAACAGTTTTATGAGTGGAATTGGATTACTTCATAAATCTTATCCTGATGATGACTTTGTGACTAAAAAGTTTAAGAATAAATTATAACTCATTTTCTCTGAAATAAACTGATTTGTTCACACAACTTTTTATCTATGTAATTCCTGTAAATATTCTAATCCTCACAAATGTTAAGGAAGGACCAAACAACTTAGTAAAATTTTCTCCACTGGTCTATGGTATTAATATCCTAACAGCTTTTTAAAAAAATTTATGAAAAAATCAGCTCCATAGGAATAGTGATGTCAGTGAAAAAGAACAATATAATAACAACAGTATAAGTATTATCTGTCAGGGAGAGGAGAAGCTGTAAGAAATATTCTGTCAATAACTGCTTTAAAAAATAAAAATACAATTTTATTGTGATAGAAATATTGTCAATAATAATATTTGATGATAGTGTTTGTTTTCCATCTCTTGGTCAGAAATATTTTAAGTGTCAGATTTTGAAACTTAAATCCTATTATTATAGACAATAATAAAGACCTCTCAATCCAGTTATTTTCAGAAATGACCTTTTCTTAAGACACATATTCATTTATAATTAAATCAGAAATGTCTTTAGGTGATGCTCACCTGCATTCAATCAAGGACAAGAAAATATTTATTTCATTTAAGATAAAACAATGGTTTGTGACATTAGTGAATTACTTTTTTTCTGATTTGAGACATTGAGGAAATGAGAGATAATCCAGGGAGAGCTGTCTTTACACCATGCTTTATTCTGTTTTTGTTGTTGAGAAACTTATTAGACTGCCAGGAATTACTAGGAATTGTCAGGTTAAATATCATCAGAAACTAAACTATTGACTAAGGATTAAGAGTTTATAGGTTTAGAAAATATTTAAAAATCACAATAACCATTTAAAACAGATAATTTACATGTTTGTAAGCTATTTATTTTAGCAAATAAAGTTATATTTTATTAATAAGTCTTGATAATGATAGTTTGGAAATGTTATAGTTCTAGACTATATCCAGACTTTATCTGATTTTAAGCTTTCTTAACTTAGGCCTAAACTAAGGTAAACCTTCAAAAATAAAAAATAAAATCTTTAAAGTAAACTAACGTAAAGCATAAATTTGGAAAGAATTATAAATCATCAGATATATTTAGTGGTTGTTTCTTTAGACATTAAATCCAACTATCTCTATAAAATGTTTTACTAGAATATTCTTTTAATTAAATCAAGTAACTTCAACCAGCTTTCTGTATTTTATATTTTCATTCTTTGAATTTCAAAAGCATATCATATTTTTGTAATTGGAATGTTTAAAATGGATTGATAATGCACCCTGCAACATACTCTTTACAATTATAAACACATTTAATTCTCATAATAAAGCTGTGAAAGGGCTGCTATTATTGTCTCCTTTTTACAGGGAAAACTGACTCATTGACAGGTTAGTAAGTTTCAGGCTAAGTTGACCTAGCCTGAAAGTGTGAATTCAGACGAGGGTCCAAGCAGTCTTACTTCACAACTATTATATAAACCACATCTTTATTTTTTTAATCACATCTTTAAAGAAATAAGTCACCTAAACAAATCAAATTTAACACAATCCTCACAAACTGAATAGAAAATTGAGATAAACAAGATAATTTTTCTAGATTACTACCTTCTTTTATTTTTTTGTCCCAGGTAGCAATAGAAAAAACAATGATAACCTCCTACATTTATGTGTTAGTGAATTTGGTGAGGAATAAGGACCAAACTTAATGGATAAAAAACAAGAAATGTTTTTCACTAGAATATGCAAATGAGAGTTCAGTAAATTAGAAGTTGACTTTGCAAAATGAAAGACCTGTATTAAAACTTTTTGTCACTTAAGGATTCAATAAAAAATTTGCAAAAATTTATTGTGAAACCAAAGAAATTTAAAAAGGGAAATAACAAAGAAAAAGAGAAAACCTATTGGCATTTCTCCACAATTTATCTAAATGTTTAGCTTCTGCAATAAAATATTTTGTCTCACTTTCTTTCTTTTTTAAAATAATGTTTAGGAATTTTTTCTAACAATTTTTCCTTCGGATGGAGGTTATTATTTGTACCTGCTTGTCTTAATATTAACTATATGCATCACTAGTCTATTGACTCTTAAATACAATAAATCTAATGGTAAGTAGTCAATTGACATCACAGACTTTATACATACAACAGGGCATAAAAAGGGTATAAGATGTGTCAACTATTAATATGCATTAAATATAGTTAAATATTTGATAATTCAGTATAGACATATGCATATAAATAAAACTTTATTGTTGATTTGAAAAGTCTAGAAAGCTTCCAAATAATATTTTATAATCTGTTGGTAGCAAAAACTTAAATTTGGAAGGATTCTTAGCTTTTTAACACACCGGTTTATCGTTACACAAATCTAGACCATTGACATTCAAGAGAAAGCAAAAATCCAATCCAGAAAATTGAAGGATGGCAATAAAACAATACAAGAGATAAAAGAAGAAACGGTCATTTATCACGGGAAATTCAGCCCCCAATATTTCATGTGGGTCCTTTTCTATTTTCCCTAAGTGTCAGCCTGTCTGAGAAATAAAGGGAAAGAGTACAAAAGAGAGAAATTTTAAAACTGGGTGTCTGGGGGAGACATCACATGTCGGCAGGTTCCGTGACGCCCCTGAGCCGTAAAACCAGCAAGTTTTTATTAGTGATTTTCAAAAGGGGAGGGAGTGTACGAATAGGGTGTGGGTCACAGAGATCACATGCTTCACAAGGTAATAAAATATCACAAGGCAAATGGAGGCAGGGCAAGATCGCAGGACTGGGGCGAAATTAAAATTGCTAATGAAGTTTTGGGCATGCATTGTCATTGATAATTTTTATCAGGAGACTGGGTTTGAGAGCAGACAACCGGTATGACCAAAATTTATCAGGCAGGAATTTCCTAGTCCTAATAAGCCTGGGAGCGCTACTGGAGACCGGGGCTTATTTCATCCCTTAACGACAAACGTAAAAGACAGATGTCCCCAATGGAGCCATTTCAGAGGCCTCCCCTTAGGAACGCATTCTCTTTCTCAGGGATGTTCCTTGCTGAGAAAAAGAATTCAGCAATATTTTTCCTATTTGCTTTTGAAAGAAGAGAAATATGGCTCTGTTCCGCCTGGCCCACAGGCAGCCAGACTTTAAGGTTATCTCCCTTGTTCCCTGAACATCACTCTTATCCTGTTCTTTTTTCAAGGTGCCCAGATTTCATATTGTTTAAACAATTTGTGCATTTAACACAATCATCACAGGGTCCTGAGGCGACATTCATCCTCAGCTTACGAAGATGACAGGATTAAGAGATTAAAGACAGGCATAGGAAATCACAAGAGTATTGATTGGGGAAGTGATAAGTGTCCATGAAATCTTCACAATTTATGTTCAGAGATTGAAGTAAAGACAGGTGTGAGAAATTATAAAAGTATTAATTTGGGGAACTAATAAACGTCCATGAAATCTTCACAATTTATGTTCTTCTGACATGGCTTCAGCCTGTCCCTCCATTCGGGGTCCCTGACTTCCTGCAACAATCATTAAAAAAAAAAAGTAAACAAAAGCAGTGATCTGATAGAGCTGAAAAACTCACTTCAATAATTTCATAACACAATCACAAGTACTAAAAGCAACATGGACCAGGATGAGGAAAGAATCTCAGTGCTTGAAGACTGGTCTCTGAAATAACACAGTCAGACAAAAAATAAAGAATAAAAAATAAAGATAAAACAAAACCTATGAGAAATATGGGATTACATAACCCTATCAAATCTACGACTCATTGGCATCCCTGAAAGAGCAGAGAAAGCAAGCAACTTTAAAACTTTTTTGAGAATATTATTCATAAAAATTACCCCAACTTCGCTAAAGAGGTAATCATTCAAATTGAACAAATGCAGAGAATCCCTGTGAGATACTATATAAGATGACTGTTCCTATTATGGGTAGTTAGACAGGCAGGAGCAGGGCAGGAGAGGACTCTTCCCCAAATCTAGGAATGTCAGCAATGGTTTGGCAATTATCACATTGCCTCTCTAAAAAGTCATAAATTGGCAGCCAGCACCAGGGAGAGGCCATTTCCTGATGATCCACAGCTGTTAATATTAACGTGTTAATTGAATTCAGGTGCCAGGGAGTAGCAAAAAGGGCTTCCAATAAAATCTCAGGTAATGGTCTCATGAGCCCAGGCGTGCACATTAAGAGAAAAAATGGCAGGGTATGACCTTCTGTCAGCAATCCACCGGGAAAGTGAGGAGTATCTCAGATGAACATACATACAACTTCTTAAACACACTGTGCATGCTCACTTCCCAAGGGCAAGAAGCACACTGTGCATGCAGGCAGCCCACCCTAAGGGAAAAATCACAAGAAAGGGGCCAGCCTATAGAGTCCTAGGATCCAGGTTAAACACCACACTTGTTATTTAAGCTGCTCACTGAGTCTCTTCCAAGCATACTTTCCTTTCTTTCTTGTTCTAAAGCCTTTTAAAATAAACTTCCACTCCTGCTCTAAAACTTCCCTTGGTCTCTTTTTCTCCCTTATGCCCTTCAGTCAAAATAAAAAATCTGAGGAGGCAAGAATTGAGGTTGCTTTAGACACGTATGGATTTGCTGCCGGTAATTTGAATATTTGCCACTGGTAACATTCCCAAGACACAGAGTCATCAGATTCTCCAAGGCCAAAATGAAAGAAAAAATGTTAAATGCAGCTATTGGGAAGAGTAAGGTCATCTACAAAGGGGACTGCATCAGGCTAACAGTGTAACTTTCAGCAGAAACCATACAAGCCAGAAGCGATTGGGGATGTGTTTTCAGTATTCTTAAAGAAAAGAAATTCCACCCAAGAATTTCATATCCAGCCAAACTAAGCCTCATAAGCTAGGAAGAAATAAGATCCATTTCAAAGAAGCAAATGCTAACGGAATTCATTACCACCAGAACTGCCTTAAAGAAGATCCTTAAAGGAGTACTAAATACAGAAATTTAATAAAAGACTATTACTGGTCGCCACAAAAACACATTTAAGTACATAGTCCATTGATACTATAAAGCAACCAAACAATCAAGTCTGTATAACAAACAGCTAACAACACAACGGCAGTATCAAAGCCACACATGCCAATATTAACGTTGAAGATAAACAGGGTAAATGCCCCAATTAAAAGGAACAGAGTGGCAAGTTGAATGAAGAAGCAAGTCCAAAGTGTATCCTGTCTTCAAGAGACCAATGTCACATGCAATGACAACCGTAAACTAAAAAAAAAAGGAGACAGAAAAATCTACCAAGCAAATGAGAAACAGAAGGCAGGTGTTAGCAAAGATATTTGAGACCTAATTACTCATATTTGAGACCTAAAAACTAACAAAGATATTTGATAACTAATTTCAGACAAAACATACTGTAAAGCAACAATGATCAAAAGACAAGAAGGGCATTACACCATGGTAAAGGGTTCAATTTGACAAGCAGACCTAACTTCTCTTAGTGTGTGTAAATCAAATTAAATATATATGTTATATATATAAAACACAGGAGAACCAAGATTCATAAAGAAAGTTCTTAGAGACCTACAAAGACTTAATAGTGGAGACTTCAACACATCACTGACAGTAATAGACAGATCATCGAGGCAGAAAATTAACAAAGATATTTGAGATCTAAAGATAATAGTTGACCAAATGTGACTAATGGACATCAGTAGAATGCTCCACCCCAAAACCACAGAATATATATTCTTCTCATCTGCAGATAGCACATGCTCTATATTGATCACACAATCAAACATAAAACAATCCTCAGCAAATCAAAAAAAAAAAACACTGAAATCACAGCAAACACACTCTCGGACAACAGTGCAATAGAAGTATAAATAAATACTAGAAAAATCACTTAAAACCATGCAATTACATGGAAATTAATCAACTTACACCTACCTAAAGGACATTTAGGTAAACAATACAATTAAGATGGTAATTCAGAAATTATTTGAAACTGATGAGAAGATACAACATACCCAAATCACTGGGACACAGGTAAAGCAGTGTTAAGAGGGAAGATTATAGCTCTTAATGCCTACATCAAAGAGCTAGAAAGATCTCAAATTAACAATCTACTGTCACACTTAGAGAAACCAGAGAAAAAAGATCAAACCAATCACAGAGCTGGCAGAAGACAAAAAAATCACCAAACTCACAGAAATACCAAATACCTTCCTAGACTACTATGAACACTTCCATGCACACAACCTGTAAAACCTAGAAAAAAAATGATAAATTCCTGGAAACCTACAACCTCCCAAGACTCGACCAGGAAGAAATTAAATCCCTGACCAGATGAATTATGAGTTCTGAAATTGATTCAGTAATAAAAAGCCTACCAATCAGAAAATGTCCAGGACCAGATGGATTCACAGCGAGTTTCTACCAAATGTATAAAGAGTTGTTACCATTCCTACTGAAAGTATTCCAAAAAATTCAGGAGGAGGGACTCTTCCCTAACTCATTTCATGAGGTTTGCATAATTCTGATATCAAAACCAGACAGAGACACAATGGAAAAAGAAAACATGAGACCAATATCCTTGATGAACATAAATGTAAAAATCCTCAACAAAATACTAACAAACCAACTTCAGCAGCACTTCAAAAAGCTAATCTGCCACAATCAAGTAGGCTTTACCTCTGGAATGCAAATTTGGTTCAACATATCAATACAAATCAATAAATGTGATTCATCACATAAACAGAACTAAAAGCAAAAAACCACATGATCATCTCAATAGATGCAGAAAAGTCTTTTGATACACTTCAACACCCCTTCATGTTGAAAATTCTCAACAAACTAGGCATTGAAGGAACATACTTCAAAATAATAGAAGCCATCTATGAAAAATCCACAGCCAACATCATATGGAATAGGCAAAAGCTAAAAAAATTCCCCTTGAAAACCAGGACAAGACAAGCATGCCTGCTCTTGCCACTCCTATTCAACATAGTACTGGAAGTCCTAACCAGTGCAATCAGGAAAGAGAAAGAAATAAAAGACATCCAAATGAGACTAGAGGAAGTCCAATTATCTCTCTTTGCAGATGATATGATTCTATACCTAAAAATCCCTAAAGACTCCACCAAAAGGCTCCTAGAACTGATATATGACTTCGGTAAAGTTTCAATGTATAAAAATCAGTAGCATTTCTATATATCAATTATGTTGAAGCTGAGAGCCAAATGAATAATGCAATCCCATTTCTAGCAGCCACAAGTAGAATAAAATATCTAATAATACAGCTAAGTGTAGAGGCGGAAGATCTCTACAAAGAGAACTATAAAATACTGCTGAAAGAAATCAGAGATGACACAAACAAATGGAAAAACATTCCATACTCATGGATAGGAATAATTGATATTGTTAAAATGGCCATACTGCTCAAAGCCATTTACAGATTCAATATTATTTCTACCAAACTACCAATGTCATTTTTCACAGCATTAGAGAAAACTATTTTAAAATTCATATGGAGCCAAAAAAGCCCAAATAACCAAAGCAATCCTAATTAAAAAGAGCAAAGCCAGAGGTATCCCATTATCCAACTTCAAACTATACTAAAAGGATAAAGTAACCAAAACTGTATGGTAATGTTACAAAAACAGATACATAGACCAATGGAAAAGAATAGAGAGCTGCACATGTACCGCCATCTGATCTTTGACAAATTTGACAAAAACAAGCCATGTGGAAAGGATTCCCTATACAATAAATGGTGTTGTGATAACTGCCTAGCCATATGCAGAAGATTGAAACTGGATTACTTCCTTACACCATATAAAAAAATCAACTCAAGATGAATTAAATACTTAAATGTAAAACCTAAAACTTTAAAAACCCTGGAAGAAAACTTGGAAAATACCATTTTTGACATAGGATCTGGCAAAGATTTCATGATTAATATGCCAAAATCAATTGCAACAAAAACAAAAATTGGCAAGTGGGACTAATTAAACTAAAGAACATCTGCACAGCAAAACAAAATAAACAGAGTAAACATACAACTTATATAATTTGATAAATATTTGCAAACTGTGCATCTAATAAATGTATAATAGCCAGAATCCATAAATAAGTAAGAAGCAAAAAACACACAAACCCTATTACAAAGAGGGCAAAGGATGTGAACAGATACTTTTCGAAAGAGGACATACATGTGGCCAACAAGCATATGAAAAAAATACTCAAAATCACTCATCATTAGAGAAATGCAAATCAAAACCATAATGAGGCACCATCTCACACCAGACAGAATAAAAAAATTACAAAGTCTAAAAATATGCTGGTGAGGTTGCAGAGAAAAGGGAATGCTTACACGCACTGCTGCTGGGAATGTGAATTAGTTTGGCCATTGCGGAAAGCAATTTGGTGATTTTTCAAAGAACTTAATAAGGAATTACCATTCAACCAAACAATCCCATTATTTGGTACATACCCAAAGGAATATAAATTATTCTACTATAAAGACACATTCATGTATATGTTCATCATAGCACTATTTATAATAGCGATGACGTGGAATCAACCTAAATGTCCATCAATGGCAGACTAAAAAAAGAAAATATGGTACATATACGCCATGGAACACTATGCCACCTTAAAAAGAACAAGATCATGTTCTTTGCAGCAACACGGATAGAACTGGAGGCCATTATCCTAAGCAAACTAATGAATGAACAGAAAACCAAATACTGCATTTTCTCACTTATAAGTGGAAGCTTAACATGGGGTACACACGAACACATGACTTAAGAGCGCAAGGTGGGAGTAGACAGAGGATCAAAAACTACCTATCAGGTACTATGCTGATTGCCTAAATGACGAAATAATCTGTACACCAAGCCCTCATGACATGCAATTTACCCATATAAAAAACCTGAACATTTACCCTTGAGCCTAAAACAAAAGTAAAAATAAAAATAAAGTCCTTTTAGTTGAATAGTTTTATTACAGATGCAGTCCTCTTTATTTATTATTTATTTTAATAACTAAAAACTACTTTCTTATATTGTGGCAGTGTCTCAAAAACAACCTAAAGATTGGCTGCTTTTCCAACATTATGACATCTTTTACCTTGTCAATAGCTGAAATGCCAACCAGGAAAATACCTTAATAAATAACTGAGTAATAAGGTAAACAAATGTAAGAACCAAAATGACCCCTTGATGTTGAGTAGCCCTACAAACCCAGTCTAGCTGGGCTGTTACCTGAGAGAGAGAGATAATCTTCTCTTATTTAATCTGCAATTTTTTTCACTTACTGTGCTGCATCATATAAATATTTACCCTAACCTGTTATAGAATATTCACCTTTACCTCAATTATTTGTCATATCATAAAAAAAATCTCTGTGGTCATCATTTCTAATGATCATGTAGTCTATTATATAAACATGTGATAAATTATTTTGCTACTTCCCCTTGTTTAAAGATTTAGGCTGTTTTTTAAGTCTTTGCTCTTATACTCAATACCACAGAAAGTATCTTTGGTCATAAATTTTCTTTAAGTTTCTGAGTAGTTCTTTAAGATTGAGTCCTAGAAGAGGTGTAAAAGAACTTAGGACACTTGATACATATGACCATTTGGAAGCTATTATTTCTCAACTCCAAATCTCTCTTTATTTAAGCCTTTATTTATACTTTGATTCCTGAAGCTAAGACTTAGACTTTGTAAACCATATTTCTTCTTTGACAGCTGCTCCCTCTTCAATTCTGCCAACAGGCACACTAGAGGGGGAAAGGAACACTGGAGGAGGGAAAAGTCTTCGCTGCTTCTTGTTTCTTATTCTCATCAGCATCATTTATCATCTTGACTGCACTACTTTCCTCCTGTTTCCCTTTCTGTTTTTGTTTTTGTCCTTTGGCACTCTCAGAACCAGCTCATTGTACTCCTTAAAGACATCAGCCCCTGTAAGGTAGCACTGGTCCTTAGAGGTCAAAGTCACCCTCCATGAGGTCCTTCTTTTTTGCTTCTAAGACACCACCTTCAGCTGAATGGTACCCCATCCTTTTCCCATTGCTGAGTCACAGAGTGGGCTGAGTCCTCTCTCTTCTAAGCTTTTATGTTCTATTAACTCCAGTCAATTTTTGTTGTTGTTTCCCAGCTCCAGGAAGCAGAGGGCAGAGAGTGTAACTGGTCTCTCTTTCACTCTTTGTGAGTTACTCAATGTCTTTTGGTTGTTGTTGGTCTTTTCAATTCTCTAAAATGTCTTTGACAGACTCCTTATCTTACTTTCTCTCTGTTAAAATAAATGATGGGATAATATTTGCCCAAAAAGCAAGGCATTGATTGATACTATCAAATTCCTTTATATATGCAGGACATGAAGTGTTAGTTTCATCCAGCCATCTTAAGCAGTATCAGCTAACTAAATTGATAAATGAAAGGATCGTAATTATATAGGTGAAGAAATGCATCACTGTTGCTTTGAAGTGACTTTTACTACTACGGGAGTTAATTATCTTTTATACATGTATTATTCATCATATCTTCCAATACTTTACTGCTTTGAAAGTTCTTTCCTTTTTTATAGATTTGAACAATATGCACATATTATCTCCATTTTTACAGAACATATATATATATTCAATATATAAAATGTTCAAAGTTCAACATATAACTCTATCTATCTATCTATCTATCTAGACTTTAAATTTTCTGAAATTTGTGTTCTGCAAGTGATCAACAGACCTCTGTGCAAATAGGAAACAAAGCCTAATCTGACATTGTTGCTTAAAGGAATTTCTCATGGTTTCTTAGCAATTCTGTTTCATATTTTATGTAATTAAAAACCATACTGTAGTATTTTAATAGTTTTTGCCATATTCTATTTTTCTAATATATGCTGTGTTTCTTAGACAGTTGATTACTATTGTCATCCATATGGCCTCTTCTGCAGCTTCATAGATACCCATGCTGGTTTAATCCTGATAACTGTTTAAATTTTTCTCCTGCATATTATGTGTTTGTGATTGTGGTCTTGCTAGGATGGGGATTAAATAAAAGAGGGTAGTGTTTGACTCTGGCTAATGGACTTTAAGATGTTAGATTGTTTTAAAATTCCACTTTTCAACCTTACTTGTTTTGTGATTTTAAAGGGATCATTTAAAGTCTCTGATTTTGGGTTTATTTAAGAGTAATCTGATAATGGGCATTTATTACAAGCAGAATGGGTGGTAGTTATTAAAATTATTTGATATGTTTGGAAACTTTGAATTCATCTGGCTTCATCTTTGATGATCCTCAACTTTGCACTTGAAACATCATCTGTAAGAGCTTTCCAATACACACTCATTACAATTTTACTTAGGCACATTCTTTAATCTTCCTCTGAGATAATTCCTCTCTATATATATTGTTCACACGTGTCCCCTGTTTCACTGTTTCTCAAACCACTATGCAGATTTCTTAGGCAGTGCCTGCATCGCCAGGAAACTTGAATGCCTGTAGGTCAACTAGACTCTCTAGAGAACTAGGAACTGGCACATAATGAATGAGTGAGGAAAGATTATTGAGCTGCTCTAATCCTCAGAGTTGTTTTATATCTTTGTCATCCTTTCCTTTTATATCAACTTCTCCGTGCCCCCAGTTCATTTGATTTTCCTTTCTATAGTTTCTAATTGTTTGTTTTTCATGACATTTTCCCATCCAGCTGAGAAATCTCTCATATTTTTAGCAAAAAATCATAGACAAATGTCTACTATTTTTACTTTAACCATGGGAGAATTTAGGCAGGAATATAAGCTGCATTTCACACAAATATCTATTAATCATTTTCAAAATCCTATAAATATATGATCTTATTTAAAAATCATAGCATTTAATTTATACATTTTTCTACCAAATATATATGAATTAAAATTGTATTTAATATTTAATATTAGGAATTAACATACACACCAACATGCCAATTAAAAGAGAAAGAATTGAGGGAAAAAGAAAATGTCACTAATAAAATATCATTTTTAATAAAATAAGTTTAACTTAGCCATATAACTAAATTTATATGTATAATATATATTAAAATATATGTACAGAAATAATAAAATACAGAATAGCAATATGTAAACTATAGCTTTTTTTCAGATACAAAGAGATTTTTTAATTTAATTTTTAGAGTCTTCTACATTTTTTAGATTTTCTTCAATAAAACTACATGTTTAAAAACAATGTTAATTTTTAAAATTGAAAACCCTGTAATTTGGAATTGGATATATTTTTACTCTGAGAAATAAAAAGTGAATGAAAGAGAGAGGCAGAAAGAAAGAATATTGCCTTAAAGAATAAATAATATTTATTGATTTCCCACAATTGAAGTTTCGAGAGGTAGATCCTATTTTATTATAAAGCTCAAAAATGTGTCGTCAAGTATCTTTTATCTTTCCATTCCTTATTACAGCTTTTTTGTAGACCTGACACTTCTCAGGTTGTAATATGGCTGTAAAAATTTTCCAGAGTCACATACTTTTTTATTCATGTTCAAAAGGAAGGAATATTGTAGGGATAAATTAAAGATTCTGACTGAATGGCTTACGTGACATGTCCTAACCTGAAACAACTGATGGGATTCGTTAAGATCATGTGCTCCATAACTGAATCTTGCACTTTAACCTACTTCTGTGGAACCAAAGAGAAATCAAGGCCCTCTCAGAAGCAGATATTTATACTACGATACAAATACAAATGTCAAGTAGGGAAAATGAAATATCTCTATGAATTACAATAGCTGTAGCCAAACAATCAGAAACCTCAGTGACTTAGCATGTTAAATGCTTTTAAATATATTTGTAGCACAGTCCAGTGCTGGTCAGGTGACTCTACTAGACACCTTTCCTCTACTAGACACCTTCCCTCCAGGGACCACAATTGTCTTTATTTTATGACTACACAATCTGGGACACATTGGTTCCAAAGTCACTCTGTACAGGTTATTATTCCTGTTGTTCTCATTTCCAGCCCTTTTCTGCCTTGGTGCGTTATTAGGAACAACTTCCTTTCTGACTGTCTCCCACCCTTTCCCTCATGGGAGGTGCTGTCAGAAGACTGATGTGTGGGAAAATATTAGTTGCCAGGATTTTTTCCCCATCTCTTTGTGCTTTGGGTGGCATCCTCAGGATGGCCACATTTCCTCCACAGATATAGACGCATCCAGGCAGCATGCCCTGGTTGGATCCAGTTTTCAATTCCCTGACTCATGAGCTCCTTCTGCCTTGGTTACTCCAGCTCTCTCTTACATCATTGTCCCATTTGGCTTTGGTGCTATTACATCACCTGTGTAAACAATGTTTGATGTTAAGTTCCATCTTTTTGAAGAGAGAGAGTCTCAGAACGGACACTGACAAATCGACCAATGGAAGCAGGAGAGGTGGCTGGAGGATCACACAGGATATTTTTAAGTTCCAGTCTCAGAAATAATATATAGACTTTCTTCCACACTCCATTTGAATTATAGCCCCAAACTGACTGCAAAGGAGAATGGGAAATTTTACATGTGCCAGAAAGAAGAAAGTGGTTTGGTGAGCATAAAGTATTGTATGCTATATCTAATAAATTCCTAGAAGTGTGGGTAGTCAACTGACAGGATACTTGTAATATGAATAAATTAATTAATTCATACTAATATGTATTTGATATTATTGTTAGTTCTGATATAATGCAAAATATATACAAATTCTTAAAAACCAGCACGCAATAAAACATTTCAAAGTAAAAATCATAGGACTTATGGGAAAAATAGAGTCAAGGACATGACACTAAAAAACTTTGTACTATGATAAATAAGACAAACTTTAAGAACTTAGTAAAAAGAGTTTCCAAGTGTTAAATGATTTAAAAATTCACCAATATTGCAATAAATATGGTACCTTACCTTGCAAAAACCTGAAGTTTTTATGTGATAGTAGGTTTTGGAAGAGTTACAGCTTGTGAATTGTTAAGTAATGGAAGGAAAGTTGTTCAAAATTTGATGGAAAGTTGGAACACCAGATATGGATGTTGGTGGCTCATTACACATGCAATGAGATAGCCAGCGTAGATGTTTAAAATGCCTATTTATGTGCGCGCACCTACAAATACATACATTTTGTGTATTCAGTGGGATGCAGTTGTCTGTGTTCACCTAGTGTTTCTTATGGATGAAATTGTGTGTAAACGAATGTAGAATTTTGTGGCAAATGTGTTTTGTGTTCCGCAACTGTGGAACACATTGTGTTTTCAGAACAAGATTTACAGCTGAACTCATTGTACTTCAAGTTCATTAAATCACTACTTTTCACAATGTCACAGTAAAACATGGGACTTGTAATTGCAACTAGAAATATAACAAAATATCTTCCCAACCAAAAAAAAATAAAAAATTATTATATGCTAGTATTGAGAATTTGTGAAGGAAACTGTGTTGGAATTTAATAACATTACAACACGGGAATAGTTTCAAAATGGCTGACTAAGACATCTAGCACTAACCTCCTCCACAAAGAAAAACCAACATGACAAGTGGATGATCACTTTAAGTAGAGTATCTAAGAAGTAACACTGGAATTCAGCAAAGAAGTGACAGGAAGCACCTGAGACACTGAAAGAAAGGGAAGCAAAGCAACTAATTTGGCTGTGATCAGCTGGGAGCCTGGAAAGGCTCCCCACTGTGTGGAGCAGTTCCAGACGTGGAGAGGTCCTTGATGCCGGCATGCTGTGAGACTGGCTTGGGGAGCTACCTGAAGAGAGTGTGATGGCATTGCTCCGGGAGGGAGTGATGCTCCACTTGGTCCCACACACCTGCTAAGAGATAAGAAGTTGCATCCCAGAGCCATTTTGAAAGACCAGCCTCCATCAGAATGCATCCTGTTCTGAGGCCAAATAGCCCCTGCATCTCAGTCACTGGAGTTCACTGACATTCCTCCCCTTGCACACTTGTCTTACATTCACACAGAGGACTACAGTGGCATGACATCAGTTACACCCACTGGAATGGCAGGGTCCCCAGCACTCTAGTATACACAGCGTCCTGTATCTTGGGGAATGGGCCATGCAGCAAACTTCGTTGGCATAGGACAAGGGAGCCATAGCACATGCTCCCCAGAGCCTGAAACCCTCCTGCCTGGGACTGCTACCACTGAAAGCAAGCCTACCTCCACCAGCAGTGGCAGGGCTCCAGTGCAGTTTCACATGCCTTAGAGACTAGACGTCCCTGTTGGTGCCACTGCTGCAGCCACTGCCGCCATCTCCAGAGCATGAAGCGTGTACTCTCCACAGCCTCAGAGCTGATACTTGTGGCTTCCGCCACAGAAAGAAGACCCAATCCTCCAGAAGCAAGGTCACAACACATTCACACATTCCCTGATAACAGGCTCTATCTGTCCACACCACTGCTGATGGTGGGCCTGGGGTCTACCCAACCCTACCTGCCACAGCTGATACCCATGAACAGTACCAAGAGGCCTGAGGACAATCCCACCCAGCTTGGCACCACTTGTGCAGTACCAAAACATACTGCCCAAGGGCCTGGGAATCACCGTGCCCCATCCACCACTGCTGGCACCTGTACACTCTTTCTGAGGGCCTGAGGATGGCCCTACCCAGCTTACAGCAGCCACCATTAACACCACAGCATGCTGCTTAGGAGCCTAAGGGTTTTCCCACCACCATTACTGCCATCACTCATGCCATACACACTACCCAAAACCCAAAGATCCACCTACCCAACCAGCCCACCACTGTCACAGGCACAAAGAAGGAAGTGGCCTAGAGGTTCAAGAACTGGCTCACTTGGACTGGCTAATGCTACTGACTACATACACTGCCTGGGAGCCTAGTGACAGTCATGCTTATCCTATCATTGGAATCACTGGGGCTGAGGGACTGACCCATCTAGAATCCTCTTCCCCAGCAAAACCTCACTATAGCCTTACAATTAAACCTAAGCTACTGAGGAAATCACAGACATCATTGCTGTTCTTTACAGCTGAAGAAGGCATATGAAGACTATACTACTTAATGCACCCATAATCAAATTTAAAGTGCCCTGCTCAGCCAACAGCATAAATACATCTTTATAAAAAAGTCTTCCTCTAAGAAAGCAAATCCCAAAATGGAAGAAGTGACTGTTACACCATATGCACAAATAACAATATAAGAACTCAAGAAAAATAAAAAAGCAAGGAAATATGTTTCATCCAAAGGATCCCAGTGATTTTTCAGCAACAGATTTCAATAAAAAAAGTATGAAATGCCAGAAAAAAGAATTCAAAATAATGATATTAAAGAAGTTCCATGAAAACAAAAAGACACAGACAAAATAATACAAATAAATTGAAAACTTATTCATGTCCTACGTGAGAAATTCAACAAAGTGATAGATATCATAAAAAAGAATCAAATAGAAATCCCAGAAATGAAGAATTTAATACATGAAACAAAAAATAAATTTAAGAGCTTCAACAATAGACTAGATTAAGTAGAATAAAGAATTTTAGAATTTAAAGACAGTTTTTGAAATAACCCAGTCAGATAAAAAGTTTTTAAAAGAATACACAAAATCTATGTCACATATAGAACATCATAAAGCAATAAAATATTTAAATTTGGGATGTTCCAAAGGCAAAGAGATACAAAGGGCATAGAAAACCTATATAACAAAATAATAACTGAAAACCTCCTAAGTCTAGCAAGATTTAGATATCCAGAAGTAGTAAACTTAGAGATTCTCAAATGGATACATTCAAAAGGTGTTTTTCATGGCACATTATAGTCAAAATGTCAAATGCAAATACAAATAGAAAATTCTAAAAACAAAGAGCAGGGTGTCTTGTTATATGTAAGAGAACTCTCAGCAGATTGGCACTGGATTTCTCAGAATAAATCTTACAGGCCAGGAGAGTATAGGATGATATATTCAAAGGGCTAAAAGAAAATTAAAAAAAAATTGGCAATCAAGATTACTATACACAGCAAAGTTTTGCTATATGAATGAAGAAGAAATAGTCTTTCCCAGACAAGCAAAAACTGAAGGAATTTATAACTATTAGATCATCCCTACAAGAAATGTTTAAGGGTGTCCTACACCTGGAAACAAAAGGCTTATATCTATCATTGTGAAATACATGAAAGTATAAAACTCACTGATAGAGTTTTAAACATACAAATGAGGAAGAGAAAGAACTCCAATGTTACCACTACAAAAAAACCACCAAACCAAAATGATACACAATAAGAAAGAATGAAAGAAACAAAAGATATGCAAAACAAACATAAAATACTTAAAACATTTACATGAATAAGTCCTCAAATATCAATAATAAACCTGAATATAAATAAATTAGACTTTTTACTTAAAATATTTAGACTGTCTGAATAGTTTTTTAAGTGATCTATGATATGCTGCCTACAAGAAATTCACTTCACCTGTAGACACATATAGACTGAAAGTAAAGGAATGGATAAAGATTTTCCATACAAATGGAAACCCAAGGTGATCAGAAGTAGTTATACTTAGATAAAAACAGGCTATAAGTCAAACACAGTAAAAAGAGAAAAAGAAGGTCATTATAAAATTATGAAGGGATCAAATATATATATGTGTGTATATATTATATATGTGTGTGTGTATATATATATATACATATATATAAACCACAGTGTAATAAAACTACTAGCTGGTAACAAGAGGAATTCTGGAAATTATACAAATGCATGGAAATCAATCAACTTGGTCCTGAATGACCAGTAGGTCAATGAGAAAATTAAGAAGAATAATTTTAATCCTATTTTTGAAACAAATGAAAATGAAAAAACAACACACCAAAACCTATTGGATACAGCAAAAGTAGTGCTGAGAGGAAAGTTTATATCAATAAATACCTATATCAAAAAATAGAAAGATTTTAAATAATCTAATAATCCACTTCAAGAAACTAGAAAATCAAGAACTAAAAACACCCCAAACTTAATATAAGGATAGAAATAATAAAGACCAGAGAAGAATGAAATGTAATAGAGACAAAATAACACAAAGTCAACCAAATGAAAAATTTGTCTTTTAAAAAGATAAAGTCAGTAAACCACTAGCTAAACAACAACAGAAAACACCCAAATTAATAAATTCAGAAACATAAAAGGATACATTACAACCGATACCACAGAAATACAAAAAAAATCAGAGACAACATGAACAATATATGCTAACAAAATAGAAAAACTAGAGAAAATAGATAAATTTCTGGACACATACAACCTACCAAGATTAATTCAAGAAGAAATAGAAAACCAGAACAGGCCAAGAACAATTAACAAGATTGAATCAGCAATAAAAAAGCCTCAAAAGAGAGAAAATCCCAGGACCTAAAGGTTTCACTGCTGACTTCTACCACATGTATAAAACAACATCAAAATTCCTCAAATTATTCTCAAAAATTGAAGAGTAGAGAATTCTTCCTAACACATTATATGAGGCCAGCATTATTCTGATATCAAAACTAGAAAATGACACAATAACAACAAAAGCTACAGGTTAATATCCCTAATGAACATAAATGCAAAAATCTTCAATAAAATATTAACAAATTGAATCTAACAGTGCATTAGAAAGACAATATATCATGATAAAGTGGAAGGCATGCCAAGGATGCAAGCACCGATTGTTTAACATATGCAAATCAATAAATATAATACATCACAATAACAGAAGGAAGGACAAAAACAGAGAGTCACATAAGAGGAATTTGATAAAATTAACATTCCTAACATTCCTACAGGTGTAGAAAAAAACACATCTTATAGGTCATATATGACAAACCCACAGCTAACATTATACTGAATGGAGAAAACTGAAAGCCTTTCTTCTAAGAACTGGAAAAAGACAAGATGCCCACTTTCACAACTCCTATTCAACATAGTACTAAATGACCTAGCCATAGACATCAGAAAATAGGAAGAAATAAAAGGCAGACAAGTTGGAAAGGAGGAAGTCAAAGTGTCTTTCTTTGCTGATAAGGTAATCTTATATTTAGAAACACTTGAAGATTCTTCTAAGAAACACTTAGGCCAGATTAAAAAAATTAATTTGCATGATACAAACTCAACATACAAATAAACAGTAGTTTCTAAACACTAATAATGAGCTAGCTAAAAAAGAAATTAAAAAGCTAGTCTCATTTACAATAGCTATAAAAATACCTAGGAATAAATTTAACCAAAGAGGTGAAGGACTTCTAAAATAAAAACCACAAAGCACTAATAAAATACATTATAGTAGACACACAAATTAAATGACATCCCACGCTCTTGGAAAGAAAAAAATCCATATTGTTGAAATGACCATATTACTAAAATCAATCTTGATTGAATGCAATTCCTATCAAAATACCATTGCCATTTTTTACAGAAACAGAAAAAAAAATCTATCCTCATATTCATATGGAACCATATAAGAGGCCAAACAGATAAAGCAATCTTGAGCCAAAAGAACAAAGCTGGAGGCATTATATTACCTGACTTCAGAATATATTACAAGGCTAACAGTAACCAAAATAACAAGGTATTGGTATAAAAACAGGCACGTAGACCAATGGAACAGAATAGAGAACCCAGAAATAAAACCACTTATTTACAGCCATATAATTTTTTAAGAAAGGTACCAAGAACACTGATAGAGGGAAAGGAAACTGTCTTCAATAAATGGTGCTAGGAAACTTAATATCCATATGCAGAAGAATGAAACTAGACTGCTTTCTCTCACCATGTACAAATATCAACTCAAAATGTACTAAAGACTTACACTTAGGACCCAAAACTGCAAAACTACTATAATGAAACATAGGTGAAACATTTTAGGACATTGGCCTAGGCCAAAATTTTATGGCTAAGACCTCAACAGCACATGAAACAAAATCAAAAATAGACAAATGTGACTATATTAAACTAAAATGCTTCTGCTCAGCAGAATAAATAATCAACAGAATAAAGAGACAACCTGTTTAATAGGATAAAATATTTGCAAATTATTTATCTAACAAATGACTAATAGTCATAATATGTAAGAAACTCAAATAATTCAGCGGAAAAAAACAAATGATCTAATTAAAAAGTGAAAAAGGAGAAAAATATACATTTCTAATAAAACGATATGCAAATGGCCAACAGGTATAAGAATAATACTAGATATCACTAATCATCAGGGAAATACAAATCAAAATGATAATCAGATAACATCATACCCCAGTTAGAATGGCTATTATTAAAATGGAAAAAAATTATAGATTTTGTTGAGGATGCAGAGAATAGGGAACTCTTATATACTCTTAGTTGGGATGTAAATGAGTAGATTCATTATGTACAACAACATGGAAATTTCCCAGAAAAAAAAAACTTAAAAATAAAACTACTATACTATCCAGTAATCTCACTACTAGGTATACATTTCCAAAAGAAAGGAAATCAGTATATCAAAGGTATAACTACACCTCTATATCTATTGCAGCAAATAACTTCACAATAGCAAAGCTATGGAATCAACCTAAGTGGCTATCAATCGATTAATGCATAAAGAAAATAAGGCTTATATACACAATGGAATACTATTTTGCCATAAAATAATAAAATCCTTTTTTTTTTTGCAGCCACATGGATGAAACTGGAGGTTATTATGTTACATAAAATAAACCAGGCACAGAAATACACATATTGCACGTGCTCACTTATATGTGGGATCTAAAAAAAGCTGATCTTGTAATTGTAGAGAGTAGCATGATAGTTATCAGAGGCTTGGTTAATTATAGTCTTACTACTCCTCAATCTTCACTTTTAGAATTAATAAAATATAGTCCATAATTTTACATTTAAAACAATAACATTAGAAATTATGTGAAAGAATTAAATCAACTTATTTTTTTGAAGAGTTTAAAAAATTCAATTATTACAACCATCTAAAACATCTGAAGTGCATCTTTCTTGGACATTTCTAATTGGGAAACATTTCATTATTTCTACATGATTAGTAACCTGCTCCACTCTTCATATATCCATTCTGGAAAATTCTTGGTGCCTGACTTTGGCATCTTATTTTAATCTTTTCCAAATTGTACTCATAATTTGTCTACAAACTAAGGCATTGTAAATGCTTTAAAAATCATGAGAGGAAGGCCAAGCATGGTGGCTCATGCCTGTAATCCCAACACTTTGGGAGGCCAAGGCAGGTGGATCACTTCTGGTCAGGAGTTTGAGACCAGCCTGGCCAACATGGTGGAACTCTGTCTCTACTAAAGATACAAAAATTAGCTCAGCATAGGGTGCCTGCCTGTAATCCCAGCTACTCGGGAGGCTGAGGCAAGAGAATCGCTTGAACCTGAGAGCTGGAGGTTGCAGTGAGCCAAGATCAGGCCACTGCATTCCAGCCTGGGCGACAAAGTGAGACTCTGTCTGAAAAAAAAAAAAAAAAAAGATTATGACAGGAGGCCTCTAGATAATATTAAGGGGACTTGAAGATAAAATCTGGGTCAAGTTCCATCTCACATTATATTTAATTCATCTCAGTGAGACCATTATCATCTACTTACCTCTTTTGTACATTTGATATCCACAATTATGTGTGTGCACGTATATACACAAAAAACAGACGCACAAACAGAAACTCAGCCTCCACAAATAAAAATGCTTTCCAAAAACATCAATAGGTCTAATTTCGTCAATAGTGTATGTATCTTTAATTTTTTTATATATGTATAAAGGCAAATCTAATTTTTTAGGCTTTCTCAAACTGCTTGTTTCTCCACAACTCTCTACTATTTTAAACTCTGTTTTGAGCATTGGTTACTGAAAAATAGATAAAAGAGCCAATCTATAGGGTTCAAAATTTCTATTAAGGGACCTGAATGTTTTAAAAAGAGTATTAATGATAAAATGTTAACTAATAGGATTGCCTTCATATGCTCACATATTGTGAAATTATGGAGCCTCCCTCTGTTTCAGAGACTCCCTCTGCCAAGACAATAAGAAAAGCAATTTGGACATGTCTTAAATCACACTTACGAAGCTTTAATTAAGGCTAACTATAAAGTTTAGTCAATAATAACAGATATTTAATATTTTTGAGTTCATGTACATATTCACCAGTTTTAAAATCTTATTACTATATTGTCCAATACACAGATTCTCAAGTTAATTCAGAATTAAACTCTGTGTGTGTGTGTGTGTGTGTGTGTGTCTGTGTGTGTTTATTTTTTTGTTCCTATTGTCTCCTGGAGTTTCCAGCACTTTGTAAAAGATAAAAATTAACTGTTTATTGAATGTTAGTGATGATTTGTTGAATAAATGAACAACAAGGACAACTGTGCATGGTGGATCACAGCTGAGACTGCGCCACTGTACTCCAGCCTGGGCAACAGAGTGAGACTCTGTCTCAAAAAAAAAAAAAAGATAAGGTTAGATGGCTTAGGTTCCATTTCAATAAAGATTTCTAGAAAATGTTAAGATGAAAGCAGACGTTTCCATAGCTGGAGAACAGTGTACAGCAGTACCTAGGATAGTCCCTGAAACAGAGGGAGGGTCCATAATTAGTGTGGACTGAACTCAGAGCTTTGCCCTCTATCCCACTTGATTGCCTGTGGGATCACACGAGTTTTTTCTGGTGCAGGACTGTGTGCACCAAGTGCATGCCTGTATGTGTGAAAGGGGGGATGGGAAATAGAATTATCATTCCAGATCTCTGTGTGTGTGCATAGAAAATAATGCAGTAATTTGCTGGAAGGATACACTCATATTTTTTTCCACATTGACCTTCTGTCTCCAAACTGGTGATTTGTTTATTGAACAAGTACACATTAAGGTCATAAATTGTGGTTATGTTGTTTCTTTGCTACAAAGGATAATTTTTAAAATATCACTGCAGTGTTAAATCTAAGGATGCAGGGCTCTTGAATATTAAGTATCAACTTGCTACCCAGAAAGGGACCAAATGAATGATTAGTAATCTGCTTATACAGCAGAAATAGCTAGTCTACTTTATGTAAAATTTAGAAGGCATTAAGAGCCTAAAAATGCATTAGAGGTTTTTTTTCGCTTGACATACAATCAGTAATAACAAATAGTCATAAAATCACAATTATTGTTTCAAAGTTCGCTGACAATGACACACAACCCTTGTCCTTTACAAAGTTTTCTACATTGCAATCAGCATCCTGGGGGGCTGTAATCAGGAATGGGTTAGTGCTGTGTGAGTTGACATTTCCTATAACTTCAACTCTAAAGATCCAATCAGAATTTATTGCAAGCACTATGTATAGCAACCTTTGACTGTTACAGCAACCAGAAGTTAAATTTCTTTATGTGTGTGAGGAGAGTGATTAACTTCAGGAGCGAGTTCATCATCAGTATCAGCAATCAAAACTGGAATGCAGCCTCACACCTAAAAATCAAAATAAGGTTGATGGTACTGCTCTATTATCAAATAAGATGATCTATTTTGCTGGTAACAATTTCATGAATTTAATTAAAACTATCAGCGTAAGCATAGGGTTTTTTCATCTCTCTCAAGTTTTCATCTAAAAAAATTCTCCAGGTAATTTTTTAAAAAACTTTAAAACTTATATCTTGATTGATGGTTAAAATATATTCATGATAAACCTAGAAAGAACTGTGTAGGTATACTTTATTGGCAAAGATATGCTATAGAGAATATGGGTATATTATGTAACCAACATAAGATTTAGTGGAAAAGAAGACTGAACATTTATATGCAGTCTGCACCAAATATATGTGTGTGTGTGTGTGTGTGTGTGTGTGTGTGTGTGCGTATTTTTTAAGACAGAGTCTTGCTCTGCTGCCCAGGCTGGAGTGCAGTGGCTTGATCTCTATCAGGAGTTCAAGACCAGCCTGGTCAACATGGTGAAACCCTGTCTCTACTAAAAATACAAAAATTAGCCGGGTGTGGTGGCACAACCTGTAGTCCCAGCTACTCAGGAGGCTGAGGCAGGAGAATGGCGTGGCCCTGCGAGGCGGAGTTTGCAGTGAGCCGAGATTGATCCACTGCACTCCAGCTTGAGTGACAGAGCGAGACTCCATCTTAAAAAAAAAAAAAGAGCCCAGCTGATGTTTTTGAATTTTTAGTAGAGACGAGGTTTCACCATGTTAGCCAGGATGGTCTTGATCTCCTGACCTCGTGATCCTCCCGCCTCGGCCTCCCAAAGTGCTGGGATTACAAGCGTGAGCCACCGCACCCAGCCAAAAATATTTTTCAGTTGAATCCTGTTTTGAATATGATTTATCATCTATGATGAGAGTACGGGAACCACCAAGTTGTTCTCCATAGGACTGAATGCATTTATCATTTATAAATGGGGCTTATGATAAGCTCAAACACATTTTTCCTATTCTACTGGAGAAATATGATAGGCATAGTTCATTTGAATAACTGTGAGTGCTAGTTTGGAAGTTTTGTTTAATGTTCTAAGAAGGGGAGATATTGTTGTCTGCAATATAACCATTTGTTTTATTCCATTAACCAAACAATACTCAACAGAAAGTCTTGCACATAAGATGCAAACAACAAATACTAGCTCAATGAATGAAACAGTTGAAATGAATCTTATGAGTGAGTTTGCTTCTACAAGAGCTATAAAAATAGTAGAAGCTCCAGCTGAAATGAGTAATTTAATGCTTGTATTAAGAAAAACAGAAAATATCTAGAGAAGTGGAAAATATCTTGTTCTGTGTTCTAAAAATATGACCTATCTCCCACATACATCCCAATATTTTGCAATTGCTGCAGGTGATTCTCTGACTTTTCAAATATGAAACAAAATTAAGTCATACGGGCTATTTGGAATGAGAATAATTAGCTATACATCAATCTCAGTTGCATATTTAATATAGCTCATATAAATAGAACTACATAAAACTGATGCATTATTTAAATTGTGTATTGAAAATATATTCATTTTGACTGTAGGCATATTGGTTATTGTAAGTGGTTTATATTTGAATACGTAATGTATGATTTAAAGAATTTCATTTTAAAACTCAGGGTACTAGTAAAACTGCAAAATGTAGATTATTTTATGCAAAGTTTACACATAAACTCTGACTATACTTTCTCACAATAATATAAAAAATCATCAGAAAAAAAGTTTAACAAAGTGGCATGATTGAATACTCCTGATAAAAGGCTCTAGACTTTCCATAAAGGAAGAAAATATGAGAAGGAAAGTTTAATATTTCTGGAATAAGTGAATAAAAAACACTTTGTTAGGGTCACAAGAAGAAAAATTGAAAGCCTTTCATCTTAATGACACCTATGCCATTAAGAGTGGCCAATGACAGCCTTAGGTGTATCCCATGAATTTTCAGAAAGAGCAAATAGAGTTGATTCCTCTAAGTGTTCATAGTGCCTGCCCAGGGATCCACCTCTATCCTCTTCAGATGAACATGGGCTTTGTCTAGGAAGGCAGTTTATAGTCTTGCCTGCTCCGGGTCTCTTATTCAGGTATACTTTACTGAAATTCACATGGAATCTTTCTCTGTCACTGGCAAGTGAGGCTACTTTTAAATACTGTAAATGCTGCAGCTTCTCAACCTCAGATAAATTCTATCTATAACTGTTTATATGCACCTATCTTAGCAAATTCAGGTTCCATTAAATCATTTTACAAAGATCTGCATCATATGGCAATTAGAAAGTATAGCCTGTATACAAGAATAGGTCACATTCTGGATAATAAGATTATCTTAGTGAAAGGATTAATGTTCTCCCCTGATTTTAAGATATGGAAGTTTTTTTAAATAAATGATTTCTTTCATCTATTTTTATGAAAGCATTATCATTTTATGAGCTTGCACATTGAGATCAAAGGCTTGCTATTGTTTTGTGTATGGACCATATGTTACAATTTAATAAATACATAGAATTATAAAATCTATAAAACTAGGCCTTGGAATCCAAGCATCAGGAGAGAGGTGGTTCTCAATATTATATATGGATCTTGACTATATCAAAAGCTAATTTGGCTCAATAAAAATATAAAATATCTCCAAACATTTGATAATGATCTCTAAAACAGCTATGTGTTTTAATTATAAAATAAAACTTTAAAATCACAATAAGTTAAAAATTATAAGTAGATAGAATGTTGTAAAATAGGAATCAATGTAATAAAAAATATAAATAGGCATGATTTCTACTCTTAAAAATGGAATAGTTTAGGTATCTGTATGTGAATTAAAAATAAAAATAATATGTATACATAAATGACACCTTTGAAAAGGGAGAGAAAAGATGTGGAAGAGAGAGAGAAAGAAAGAGATATTCAATATTTCTGTGTCTTGGAGAGATTGGGATAGGTGATTACACCATTTAAACTTCAGGAATGATCACCATCTCAGGTTTGATTCAAAGTTTGAGTAGCAACTGCAGGCCCTCAGCATAAGATATAATGATAATTTCTTGCATAAGTATTTCTTAGGATGTTTGTGGCAGTCTGTTTCTCTTCCCTACAGGTTCCCAAACATAATTGAGTCCCCATCCTTTACAGTAACAGAATAGAGCACTAGCTTAACCCTAATCAGCATTTCTTCTGTCCTGAACTATTATATGAGTTATATTCCATCATGATCCTTGTGTACATTTCTAATTCTAAAATACTTAAGTAATCAGAATTTTTATGTAATAGGTTAATTCAGTGTCTATTCAATACACATACAAGCACAGGCATACTCACTGATTATATGCACATCATTAATCTCTTATTACACTCATATTTTGCATTAGGTTATATATCCTCATCCATATTGTCTTATTCAATGTTCCCAAATAACCTGCAATTGATCTATGAAAGGCTAGTTAGAGTTTCCAAACTATATTTCAAAAAATATGTAGTCAGGATCCAGGGAGTGTACAGAATCCAACTTCAGTGTTCAACTATACAACACAGCTCATATTCTAAGATACAACTTTATACCTGTTATGGACTGAATGTTTGTTTCCCCAAAAATTTTATAAGTTAAATCCCTAATCCCCAATTTGTTAGTATTTGTAGATGGGGCCTTTGAGAGGTAATTAGTTCATAAGGGTAAGCCCTCACGAATGGGATCAGTTCTCTTATAAGAAGATGAAGACACATGAGAGAGATGATGTCTCTCTTTCTCCATGTGTGTGTGTGTGTGTGTGTGTGTGTGTCTGTGTGTGTGTGTGTGTGTGTGTTTCTATCTCTTCATCTCTCTCTCTGCCATGTGAGGACATAGCAAGAAAGTAGTCATCTATAAATCAGGAGGAGATTCCTCATCACAATAGTGCAATAATCTTGGACTTCCCAGTCTTCAGAACTGTGAGAAATGTTTGTTGTTTAAGCCACCCAGTCTATGATATCATTAATAGCAGCCCAAACTGGGGGTGGTTGATGAGATATTACTTATTAGGTACAGTGTACGCTATTAAGGTGACAGTTGCACTGAAAACCAAGACTTCACCGCTAGGAAATATACCTATGTAACAAAAGTGTACTTGTACCCCTTAAATGTATACAAACTTAAGAATACATTCAATTAATTTGAGATATTTATGAATTATTACAATTTTTTTCTAGAAATACTTATGCCCTCTTTTGTCTTTCGTCTTTCGAAAGAGTAAGATACAATTATATTTTTGTAAAGTAGCAATCATCTTATACTCCATAAAAATTAATTTGCTTCTGAGTGAATACAATTCTGTACAACTTATACTACAAACCAGGGTTCCTAACCAAACTTTATTTGTTTAATAAGAGTATCTGTGCTGTATTCACATGAACCAAACAACATCAATGTGTTCAACAGCACATATCTAAACAACTGAAATACCGTATCTAGACATTTCTACAAATAAAAAAGTATAGTAAAATCATAACGTTACAATCTTATGCGACCACCATTGTATTATGGTGCATTGTCGACTGAAACATAGTTGTGTAGCGCATGACTGTGTGTGTATATGCCTGTGTGTCTCTCTGTGTATACAAACAGTGTTTGGGGAGATAGAGAGATTTCATTTTTGTTTAAGTTATTTAAATGGTTATTACCTTTTCCTTTAATTTCTGGGGTTTTCATGCACAGTTTCTATACAGAGAAGGATTGTGAGCAGAAAGCACTCTCTTTTAATGTGTGCATTTGCTCTTGCTTAGGATGACTGCTTCACAAACTAAGAATGACAGTCTCCTGTGGGTCTTTTGCAAGCACAGGTATGCTGATAGCAAATCCATACTGCCAATCAATTTCAGTGGACTCCCAGGCTTGTACATGTATTTGTATCTAAACATTCCCAGTAGAAAGGGCTTTCATTTATCTCCCAGGAAAAGTCTATGGGCCTTGTTTCCATCATAGTTTCTTTAAAATCCATACTTGTGTAACTCTTTAGTTACTATCTGATTCAGAGAAAAAAATTAGGAAATAGAAATTTTGTTAGAAAAGTGCAAAAAATTTAAGTAAACAAAGTGTGGAAACAAAGTGAGGAAACAAAGTGAGAAAAAAAGAAAAAAAAATGAGCAAAAAAATAAGCATCGATCAAGAAATCCCAAAAAGACAAATAGTAATTGTGGTCAGTAAAATTATTGTAAATGATAAAAAAAAATTAACTAAGGATACAGATACAGAAAAAGATAAAAATATGGCTAAAATATCAAATTTTAAATCTTGTATATTTGGGAAAATCTCTAGTTAGCAAAGTGGGAAATTTATGTGTTTTAAAAAATGACTGAGGTTTAATCAGATAGCTCTGTGAAGGACAACTTCTCTTGGAGGAAAAAAAATCCCTGCTGTATATATCTCCTGAAAAAGGATAAAATATCCTGTTTGTGTCAGTGTGTCAGTGAACAAAAGTAAGGCAAAGAAGATTCATATTTCTCTGCATAGTAATATTTGAGTTTCTGTGAACATTCTGGAAGACAGTGAAAAGATAGAAACAAACAAAAAAATATGGCCCAAAGAGTGAGGGAGATGAGACCCTTATGAAATAAAAACAGGAGATTTAGTCTCCTAAGACACAGAGTTATGAGGAATTTGGAGGTATTTAATTTGTTTCAAGTTGACCCCTTTGGTCATAGATCACAATTATCTCCCATATTCCCTCAAAATTTAGAAAAAGTCTGGTTCCCCCGAAGTCCTGTATTAACAGTGTTTGGGGGCAATGAAGGCATATTGGCTCTATTGTCCAGCAAGAATAAAGAGAAGATAGTACCGCTTAGAGATAAAATTGATTTATGACTGGGCAAGCAGGGGACAAGTTTCTTCTCAGCTCTCCTTTCTGAGGAGAGCAAAGATCACCT